>NC_000002.12:23570361-23721876 GCF_000001405.40 Homo sapiens
GCAGAAGGCCAGTTGTCTGCACTTCTGTCCCTTGACTTAAATTGTTGGTGGCTGTTCGTTGCAGTCCCTTAAGAAAACACTCTTCAGCCACCCACGGGGTCACCCTTGCTAGACCTGCTCCCCAAGGCTCCAGTTAAGTTTGTGGTTCTCTGTCCCCTACTCCTGCCTTCCTTTGCCCTTAGAGGGCCACACAGTTTCCCCTTGGCCCCCCGACCCCAGGTTGCCAGCAGGTAGGGCTCTTGCCCGGCCCAGTTGGAGCTGTGGATGGATAAAGGAAGTCACTCACATTCCATGTTCTTAATTTTTTTCACACCTGAAGGGGTGGAGACTCAAAACCCACCTGGGCTCCCCTTGTCTAAGACAGTCGGCTAGGGTAGGGAATGGGGGAATCCTGCTGGGGTGTCCCAATTGCTCATGCTTTCAGATTTGATTGCTTTATTTTAAAAACATGGATTTGAATGACCGAGAGTCACCTGGGGCAGAAAGGACAAACCCATGAGTCCAGCTTCATGGATGGCCAGATCCCTCTGGAGCATCCCAAGCTGGTTCTCTTCCCACTGGCTGTGAGATCAGGGCCGCCCAGTGTGATGCTTCTCTCCTTTGTCCAGAGTGGATCTGCCCAGCTCTTCCAGCATTCGGGCCAGCCCTGCGCCATGGCTCTGGTGTCTCTGTGATTATCTTTGCAGTTCTAGAACAGCGCCTGCCTTGAGGTTGCCCTCAGGAGGCTTCTCTGGCAGGACAAGGGGACTCAGCATAGGACAGCCTCTTTACAGATGAAAACACACCCAGTTGAGGGCCAGACTGATGGCGAACATGACCCAGATTCTTCACCTACTACTTAAAGTATCCCTACTTCAGGTTAGAAGTGGCCCTCAGACTGGAGGATGGCGGGGAATGGAGGTAGGAATGGGGGCGTGGGCTGAGCCTGCCTGGTGAGTTGATTGTGCCAGCTGCAGGCAGAGCTGGAGAATGAGCCAGGCCTGACAAAGTGACCTCGTGGTCTGTAGTGGGCATTGCTGCCCATTTGCCCAACGTTCATTTTCTCTCCTTCTCCCTTCCCAGCAGAACCCCCATTCTGTTCCAGGTATCCACCACCTCGCAGGCTCAGAGAAAAGTGAACCCCAGCCCCTGCCGAGAATATGATTCTGGCCAGGCATGGTGATCGTGCTCCCCTCCCAGTCATTAGTTTAGGAAAGGGTCATGTGAGGCAGTTCTGGAATAGAATATGAGGGTAATCCTGCCTGGGGCTTCTGGAAAAGGTTTCCTTGCTTTTAAGGAAGAGTCACAAGAAAAAAAGTCATCCTTCTCCCTCCAGACATTGTCGTGACTGGATATGTTGCCTTGAACTGCTATAACCTTCCTACTACAAGCCTGAGGATGAAGCCAGCACATGAGCAGTGGAGAAAACAAGAGAGTTCCAGATATACTGAACCAGAGCCTTGGTACTGCTTTGCTCTAGGCTTCTTGTGTGAGCCAATACATTTTCTAGTTGTGTGAAAAAGAAATAAAAAACAACCGCCTCCATTGCACAGACGGCTCCCAAGCAACAGCCGTGGGTGCCTCCTCTCTCTCCTAGACCTCACCAGGCATGTCAGTTTGCTAAAAGCAGCTGCAGTGACCTTCGTGAGTACCCTGTCCTATTATTCATTCATCCCGGCACTCGCTGCTGCATACAGGGATCCTGCTATCTGTTGCTTCTCTGAATGTCAACACCAGGACACAGCTTAGTACCACCACACTCCTGTGTGTCAGCGGGTCTGTGTTTCTGTCTGAGGGAAATCCACTAACACACTGGTACGTGAGCCAGGAGGTCACTGGAGAGCGTCACCCCACCACCCACTTTAGCCACGCTGAAATTCCCAAACAGGAAGATCTCTCATGCCCTAGGGCCTTTGCACCTGCCACTCCGTCTTCCTAGCATTGTCATTTCCTCTCTTTCCTGCCCACAAAAACTCCTGTTCATCCTACAACTGAGAGCCTAAAGGTTACCACCCCCTGTGATGGGAAAACATTTTTTGCTATTGTTTCTCTTGTTCCTATAATAATTTTTGCTTACGTTCCTATTATAATACATGAATATTATGTGAAACTTACCCATTTATTTATTTGTCTCCTTATGAGGCAGCGAACTCTGTAAAAGTCAGCTGCCCGTGATGCCCAGTCTATAGAGGCTCTCAATATGTGTTTGAGGACAGAATGAATGGATTAATATATATGAATATTTATTAATTTATTTAGCCACTATTGTTGGGTTAGGGAAGATGAATCCTTTGACATCATCTCAACTTACCTACTACCTGAGAGAAGATAGTGGAGCAGCCTCCAAAAACAGTGATTTCTTTTTTTTTTTTTTTTTTGAGACGGAGTCTCGCTCTGTCACCCAGGCTGGAGTGCAGTGGCACGATCTCAGCTCACTGCAAGCTCTGCTTCCCGGGTTCACACCATTCTTCTGCCTCAGCCTCCTGAGTAGCTGGGACTACAGGCACCCGCCTCCGCGCCTGGCTAATTTTTTATATTTTTAGTAGAGACGGGGTTTCACCATGGTCTCGATCTCCTGACCTCGTGATCCGCCCGCCTCGGCCTCCCAAAGTGCTGGGATTACAGGCGTGAGCCACCGCGCCCGGCCCAAAAACAGTAATTTCTGTGGGTGCCGTGATGAGGATGATGAAGACGTAACCCCGTGGTGAGCTAGCATGAAGCCTCACGGGTTCGTAGTTGGGCCTGAGCCCGGATGATGAAGCTGTGTCGGGGGCGCAGATTTTACATCATTGGAGCTTTTGCTGCAGTTACTGTGCCCTTCCCATCTCTCCTGGAGCATTTGCAGTCACAGTATCACAGCCTTTTCCTTCAAATATTTGCATCTTCTCAAGATTTTACTCTGACTTGCCTGTAATTCTCTGCAGCTTTTTGCATTTATTTATTTTATTTAAGGCACTCATCTAGTAATTACTTTGTTGCAGGCACTGTTCTAAGTACTTTACCAATGTGAACTTTTTAAATCCTCATTATAACTCTCCGAGTAATTATTATTAGCACCACTTCAGAGATGAGAAAGACTAAGGAACTTGCCCCAGATCACTCAGCAGAGTGGGATTCATCACCTAGAGCTCTGGGTAGGCCCAGTCCAGGACAACCCTGGTGAAATTGGTTGGATGAGCAGCTGGCTGCGTACAGGTTCGAGGCATATCCTTCCCTAGTGCTGGCGACACGACCGGAAGGTGCAGCCACAGACTCCCCACAGAACAGTTTTGCTCATCAGGGTTTGAAACAACCAACAAATGTCAGGATCAAAAGGTACAAGGATCGCATGGTCCAGCCCCAGACCTCATAAACAGCCAGCTGCAGTCCTCTTCATTTTTTGTCTGATCAGGCGACCGTTTTTCCTTAACAGCCAGGTGGGGTGGTACAGATAGCACTCCGGTGCATGATGCTTGGGGACCGTTGGGCCTTAAAGCCCCGGCCTCTCTTTCTTTCTGAGGGTTTCTTGTTTTGCCCCCAAGACATAGTGCATGGCCAGTGTTTGCACTCCAGCCCCCGCTTTCAGAGGTGTTGGCCCAGTTCCTTCGCAGAAGGGCAGTCACGGCCATCAGGACCATCTGCAGGTGTTGCTGGGCAGGCCTTGAATATATCCAAGCTCAGGGAAGCAGCTCCCTCTTGCTGGTCCCTCGGTCGTTCTTGGTGGATTTGAACCTGGGCTGGGAAGTGGGGGTGCAGCAGAATCATTGGCAGGATGTTTGTGTATGTTGGGGGCAGAGCAGCCACGATTTGCCACTGTCTTCCCTGTGAGCTCAGCGCCACTTTGGAGGAGGAGAGGGAAGAAGGAAAAGGTCACTGTGGTTATGGTTTTCATCTCAAGCCCTGTTCCCATGAGATCTTTCCTGGGATGGAGAAGGAGAGACCCTATTTGAGGGGGCTGCTAGGAGTGATGAAAAGCACCCTAGGCTGGAGTCAGGAGGTGGCGGTCAGGACCCATGTTCGTACTTGACCGGCTGAATGACTTTAAGGTGGAACGCCGAAGCTCTCTGAGACTGTTTCCTTATCTACAAGCTGTGCACAAGAATGTCCACCTCACCGGGCTGTTGTGGGGTCTAAATGAAACAGCTGGGTGAACGCGCTTTATTAAAATAAATGCCCTGGTTCGTGGAGACAAAAGGTAGGTTAGAGGTTACCAGTGGCTGGCGTGGAGGGAAGGGACAGGGAGGTTTTGCTTAATGGGTAGAGTTTCTGTTTGGGATGATACAAAAGCTTTGGAAATAGTGGTGACAGTCACATGGCACTGTGACTGCAGTGAATGCCACTAAACTGTACGCTTGAAAATGGGGAAAATGGCAAATTTTATGTTAGCATATTTTACCACAGTGGAAAAGAAAGAAAACTCAAAGAATAATGAATGAATGAATACCCACCATGGGAAGAGAGAAGCAATGTCTGAGCATAAATTCAGGGACAGCTGACCCACCACGCCATTTCCTTGATGAAGAGAAATGGGGGTGTCGGTCACAGGGAGCAGAACAGAAGCCCATCAGATGATGGGTCTTCATGCAGACCAGTGTGTGCTGGGCCGGTTACAAGGAAGGACTCCTGAGGAATGGGTGGGAGGGTGGCCCAGCCCCCAGGGAAGGTTCCTGGGAAAATGTGGAGTCAGCACGGCTGAGGACCCCCATCAGGACTCACCAGGTAACCTGATCTGGGTAGACAGCCTCTCCCCTCTCCCATTTGCTCCTCCCCCAACAGCAGCAGCTCTGCAGGCTCGGAGCTGCCTGGCCGGCCGCAAGTTTACTGCCAAGCACAGTGGGCGGGTCAGGCCCTTAAGAAAGAGGGTTGTGGTGGACACCAGAGCCGTGGAGGAGCGTTTTTGTGGTCCATTTCTCTAGCACCCCAGAGAGCGGAGCCGAAGGTGAGGCCTTAGCTATCCATATTCAGAGGCAGGTTATATGTCTCACCAGCATCAAGCCCACCAGAGCCCAGCTCTGGGCTAGAAATATGCGCCTGGCACAAGTGTACACTTTAACCCTGTGCAGTCAGCAACCATTCTAAGAAGCAAGTCTGGACTGCCAGCCAGCCAGGACCTAGGATGTGTCCTTGGGGTTGCTGCCAGCATCATCATTGTCATTGTCACCATCACTGACATTTATTGAGTGCTCACTGGGAACCAGCCACGGCTCCAAGTGTTTTTGCCTGTGAACCCTCCCCAGTCTCACAATTGCATGAGGTTGGGGCCGTAACTATCCTCATTAAATAACCTTGGGAGGTGGTATCATGCCCAGGGTCACAGAACCCCAGAACTGGGTTCACGGCCTTTTTATGATGCTGCTGGCAATGTGGAGACACAGGCCTGCCTCAGGGCAGAAACAGCCCCTGCTTTGAAGGTGAGTTTGATCCTGAGAAGAAAGTGATAGAGGAGGAGAGAGAGAGGGGAAAAGATGCAGGCCCCAGCAGCTCACCCACCGGAGCTCCAGAACCTGCCCACTCCACCCGGCGCAGGAACCTCCACCCAGCCAGGAGCACAGAGCCTGGCAGATAGACTCCCTGGTGGATGCCAGAGCAATGGGGAGCACGTTTGTGGTCAATTCCTCTAGCACCCGCAAGAGCTGGGCTGAAAGTGAGGCCTCAGCTATACTGCGTCACCATCGCCTCTTCCATTAGAAATATGCTGAGGGGGGCCGCGCCCAGTGGCTCACGCCTGGAGTCCCAACACCTTGGGAGGCCGAGGCGGGTGGATCACCTGAGGTCAGGAGTTTGAGACCAGCCTGACCAACATAGTGAAACGCCGTCTCTAGTAAAAATGTGAAAATTAGCTGGGCGTGGTGGCTGGCACCTGTAATCTCAGCTGCTTGGGAGGCTGAAGCAGGAGAATCGCTTGAACCCAGGAGGCAGAGGTTGCAGTGAGCCAAGATAGCACCATTGCACTCCAGCCTGGGCAACAGAGCAAGACTCTATCTCAAAAAAAAAAAAAAAAAAAACGAAATATGCTGAGCGTGTGAGTTTTATTCTTCCACGATATTAGGCTGAGGAGATGATATTGAGCAAAATATATTGTACCCATAACTCATATTAATGGGAATTCAATAGTGGCAACTTGTCATCTGCTGAGATTAGAAGGGAACGTTATGAATATTGTGTTATAATGACATTAAAAAGGCGTTCTGAATTAGGTTCCATGTACCACATCGGGTTCCTTGTAAATAATTGAGGAAGAAACTGGTGCTTGGAATTTGGGATTATCCATTTTTGAGATCCCAGCAGTTCCCTCACCGGGCTGATGGGGCCCCATTGATCTGACCACTCACCGGACCACAGGGGAAGTCTGCATCTGGCACGGCCGATGGCTTTGTAAAATGAGCACCGAGCAGAAATTAGTAACCGCCGCGTCCAGCAATGGACTGTGCGTTTTTCCTCCAAAATCTTCCCAAGTCCAGATATTCTGTGTCCCTCGCCTCCAGTCGCTGGAACTCTGGTGGCATCTGAGTTGGCAGCAGCCTTCCCACCACCACTCACACCCACCTCTGGCCCCCTCAGTGGCAAAGACTTGAGCCTTGATAGACCCGCGGTCAGATAGTCAGTCAGGCACCAGCAGCTTTGTCCCTGGTGGAAGAGCCAGGGTGTCCGGCCACCACCCATCTTCAGGTGGGCTTTTCAGTCCTGCTGTCCTGTCCTGAAGGACTCCACCACCTGCTGGCTGTGCCTCCAGATCCTCAAGGCCCCAGGATGGAAGGCAGCCTGGAGCTTCACAGGCGGCCCCACTGCAGTGCGTCTTCTTTAGTTCAGACCTGGTGTCTCCACGTGGCTCCATGAAAGACCAGTAGGAGCCAGTGCAGTCGCTCACGCCTATAATCCCAGCACTTTGGGAGGCCGAGGTGGGCGGATCACCTGAGGTCAGGAGTTCGAGACCAGCCTGGCCAACATGGTGAAACCCCCTTCTCTACTAAAAATACACGAAATAGCCGGGCATGGTGGTATGAGTCTTTAATCTCAGCTGCTCGGGATGCTGAGGCAGGAGAATCGCCTGAACCCAGGAGGCGGAGGTTGCAGTGAGCTGAGATTGCTCCATTGCACTCCAGCCTGGGCAACAGAGCAGGACTCTCTAAATAAAAGGGGGGTGGGGCCATGCGCGGTGGCTCACACCTGTAATCTCAACACTTCGGGAGGCTGAGGCGGGTGGGTCACCTGAGATCAGGACTTCAAGACCAGCCTGGCAAACATGGCGAAACCCCTGTCTCTACTAAAAATACAAAAATTAGCTGGGCGTGGTGTTGGGCACCTGTAATCCCAGCTACTCTGGAGGCTGAGGCAAGAGAATTGCTTGAACCTGGGAGGCAGAGGTTGCAGTGAGCCAGGATCATGCCACTGCACTCCAGCCTGGGTGACTAGAGCGAAACTTCATCTCAAAAAAAAAAAAAAGAAAAGAAAGATCAGTAGGGCTTCCTGGCCAGAGTCAGGTCTGTCATTTAGTTATCAAAGCCCAGAACTTGGCTTGGAGCGGGGGTGGCTGCCTCCAAGGAAAATCTGAAAGGAGAGTAGGGCAGAAGCAGGCAGATGCTCATCCTGTCTCTGTTCGGAATGCCCTTGAGATCTGACCCTGTGCCATCGAGGGACTCCAGGAGCAGAAGAAAGCTTCCTGTGACCATGGCCGACCTCGTGGGCCATTCTGAAGCCACTGAGCATCAGTAAATTATGCGATTCCTCCCTATCATTGGAGTGTTGTTTGTCCCTGGATTTCCAGTTTGACTTCTGTCCTATGGCATGCCTGAGGGTGCCAAGAGACAGGAAGAAGCTGTTGTGATTTGAGAGGCAGTCAGGGCCAAGAGGTTTCTCTGCATGCAGGTGAAACCGTCAGTCGCTTAGCCAACCACATTAATCCTAGCTGGGGTACCATTGCACACCAGCAACATAAGTACTTAACACACCTCTTGGCCTGCACAGCGATGGGATTAGGAGCCCAGACTCTAGATTCAAACTGTCCAAGATTGCATCCGGACTCTCCCACTTTCTAACTGTGTGACCTTAGCAAGTTGCTTACCCTCTCAGAACATTGGTTTCCTCTTCTATAAAATGAGAGAATAATACTATCCATTTCATTGGCTTGTGGGGAAAATTAAATGAATTAATAATACAAAGCACTTACATCAGTGTCTGGCATCCAGAGCAGACTCTGTAAGCATGATCTGTTATTATTACCATCGTCTTCATTGTGTGACCTCCTCCTCTCTGCCTGTCTCTTTCCCTCTAGAATGAAGGTCCTTGAGACAAAAGACCTGTCCTCTTAGGTTCTGCATTGCTGGCACCTCCCGCTTGCCTGTTATGTGCTCAGTAAATATGTGTTGAATTATCAAGTTGAATTGTGGGTAGAAGGTGTAGTCATGGAAATCCACTCGCTTTACTGAAAAACAGCTGTGCACTTTTGAAAATTATATTTCTTTTCCACGGTCGTATATTCTCATTTCAGAGGAGCCCCGTGGCTGCCTCTCATCCTTTGTGTGGCAGGCATCTCGGCAATAGTACTCAACAGTCTACAGATCAATTAGACATGTATTGGCATGCATGTAGCACCTCGCTAATTAAAGGAATCCCAAAGTCAGGCATTTTGCAGAGCACTTGCTGTGCCTCCATGAAATGGGAAATCATCGCCTCTATCTGATGTTCTCAAGCCCAGAACCCGTGCCCCCGCCAGTCCTGGACTCCGGCTCCCGTTCTGTTTGTTGGTGGTTGTGGTTATGGTTGTTTTTGTTGTCATTGTTCTTTTGTTTTTTAAGCCATTTGTGGAGGGCCAGGCCCTGTGCCAAGAGCTTTCCATGTTTTGTCTCCATTCTTAGAGCAACCCCATGTGGTAAGTCTACAGTTCTGCCCATTTACACACAAGGAAACTGAGTTTTGGAAAGCCTGAGAACTTGCTCAATGCGCTAGCTCATACGTGGTATTATGGAAACGGGGCTTGAACTCAGACCTTTTTTACTTCGAAGCCTGTGACTCTAACTCCCAGTTCTTTTCCCCAGATGTCTGCCCTTAGGTATCTGCCAGAACCTCAGATATAAAATTCCCAGAATGGAGCTCCATATCCTCAGCCTCAAAGCTGTGCCTTCTTCTGCATGCCTGGCTCAGGGCTCAGGTTTCCCGCCCACCCAGCAGGTGCAGCCACATGACTCTTCCCTCCCTCGCCATCCTCATTACTACCCATCAGTGAGCTGAGGTCCACCTTAGTAGATTTCTGGAGTCTACCCTTTTCCCTCCAGTCCCACTTCCACTGCCATAGTCCAGGCCCATCATATCTCACTTGAGGGGACAGAAATTGCCTCTTCTAGCTTCCTGCCTCCAATCTGCCCACTCTGTCACATCCATCCTTTTTTTTCTAAATGTGCAGTTACTCCATACTTGCCCTGAAGGAAAAGTGGCTTAAGACCCTTGGCGATCCCACCTCTTCTGGCTTCACCAAGCCTCATCTGTCACCTCTGCACCCCCGCCCCCATGGGTCTTACATTTCAGCCAAATATCAGCTGCATGCCCCAACCCTGATGCGGGTGAGTTCAGCTGGAGCATGTGTGAGTGACCCCTGGTTCTGCGCCAGGCAGAACACAAATCAGAAGGAACTCTGGCCTTAAAGACAGGCAGCCTTGGGTTCATTCCACTGGTAAGCTGCTTAACCATTGTGTGGCCTCTTTTTCCTCATCTATAAAATGGAGATAACAACAGTACTGCCTTAAAAGAAATTCCACGTAAAAAATCTAGACCAGGCCGGGCGCGGTGGCTCACGCCTGTAATCCCAGCACTTTGGGAAGCTGAGGCGGGCCGATCACGAGGTCAGGAGATCAAGACCATCCTGGCTAACATGGTGAAACCCTGTCTCTACTAAAAATACAAAAAAAGCTAGCCGGGCATGGTGGCAGGCGCCTGTAGTCCCAGCTACTCTGGAGGCTGAGGCAGGAGAATGGCGTGAACCCAGGAGGCAGAGCTTGCAGTGAGCCGAGATCACGCCACTGCACTCCAGCCTGGGTGACAGAGTGAGACTCTGTCTCATAAAAAAGATCTAGCCCATTAGGCCAGGCGCGGTGGCTCACACCTGTAATCCCAGTGCTTTAGGAGGCCGAGGCAGGTGGATCACAAGGTCAAGAGATCAAGACCATCCTGGCCAACATGGTGAAACCTTGTCTCTACTAAGAATACAAAAAATTAGCTTAGCGTGGTGGCAGGCGCCTGTAGTCCTAGCTACTCAGGAGGCTGAGGCAACAGGATTGCTTGAACCCAGGAGGAGGAGGTTGCAGTGAGCCGAGATCACGCCACTGCACTCCAGCCTGGGTGACAGAGTGAGACTCCGTCTCATAAAAAAAATCTAGCCCATTAGGCCAGGCGCGGTGGCTCACACCTGTAATCCCAGTGCTTTAGGAGGCCGAGGCAGGTGGATCACAAGGTCAAGAGATCAAGACCATCCTGGCCAACATGGTGAAACCTTGTCTCTACTAAGAATACAAAAAATTAGCTTAGCGTGGTGGCAGGCGCCTGTAGTCCTAGCTACTCAGGAGGCTGAGGCAACAGGATTGCTTGAACCCAGGAGGAGGAGGTTGCAGTGAGCCGAGATCACGCCACTGCACTCCAGCCTGGTGACACAGCAAGACTGTGTCTCAAAAAATTAAAAATAAAATCTAGCCCATTCTAAGCAAACAGTAAGTGCCCAATAAATGCTGGTGATCATAGTGAAATACAAATTCTGTCTTAAGAATAAATTCCTGGAGGCTTATTTTTTTTTTAAAGAAATAGACTCACATCCGAGAAAATAAGGAGTGTAGCATTTAAACAATGACATCTTCTGGTTTCTCCATGTTCTTCTGAGGAAGTCAGACACCCCTTGCACCGTGGCATGGCTTGAGTACACTTGAGCATCTCCATGTATATGATTGGTCCTCCTTTCCAGTCCCCACTCCCCACCCGGTCTTCCTTCCCACCGTTTTGAACATCACATGGATTCTCTTTCATGTATTCATTCAACAAATACTCATGCTTTGTTAACTTAGGAGGTTCTATGGCTCAGCTGGTTGAGGATGAACCTCTGGGAAGGCAGCTTCCCTAATGTCAATGACTCCACTTGCGATGGAGTGTGCGCTGAGTCCCAGGCGGTGACTCCTGATCCGCCTTCCACTGTGGCCACGCACACCTGGTACTGCATTGTGCTGGGGCTTTTTAAAAACTTTTAGGCTGGAGGCAGTGGCTCACGCCTATAATCCCAGCACTTTGGGAGGCCGAGGTGGGCGGATCACTTGAGGTCAGGAGTTCAAGACCAGCCTGGCCAACATGGTGAAACCCCATCTCTACTAAAAATACAAAAAAAGTAGCCGGGCGTGGTAGTGCGTACCTGTAATCCCAGCTACTTGGGAGGCTGAGGCAGGAGAATCGCTTGAACCCGGGAGGTGGAGGTTGCAGTGAGCCAAGACCACACCATTGCACTCCAGCCTGGGCAACAAGAATGAAACTCTGCCTCAAAAAAAAAAAAAAAAAACTTTTATTTGAGGTTCAGGGTTCATTGTGCCGTTTTTAAGTGCTGGTGTTCACCTTCTAAGCTCCACCTTTGAAAAACTCTCCCACAACACAACCACTCATCAAGTGGGTTGCTTTCTGATTACCTTGAGGGTAGTTTGTCCTCCAGCCTTCTCCATCTGAGTCCAACCCTCTGGCTGCTCCAGCTTTGTGGCCTCAGATACCACGCCAGGGTCTAGGAGCAAAGGCAGTGCTCAGGGGCAAAACAGCTCCTATCAGCCTCACGCCTCCAGTGACTCCCAGCGCCAATAGTTTTCTCATCAGGGCAGGCCACAAAATGAAGAAGAAAAATCTTTCTCGAATGGAAAAATAGGGCTGCTGCTGTTTTATGGTGGTGTGCTTTATGGTTTTCAAACATTTTAATTAGTTTCATTTTTTAATATAAATGCACCCTGATGTTTTGTGCAGGAAGGGCTCCATTCTTAAAATCTCAGAAATAAAGTAGGAAAATGACAGATTGGCTATTAAAGCGTCACACTCAGATGTATTATTATTATTATTGTTATTTAACATTTCTGAATGCCAACACTGAGCCAGAAGTGGGGGTGGAGGATGGGGATGGTGAGAAGATCCGGGGACCCCTATGACTCAGGGTCCTGGTGTCAGGGGTCCCGGGGGCTTGGCAGTTGCTTTCTCAGCCTCCTGAGATTGTCCTGCCCCTCCAGGAACTTCACAAGATGCCAGTCATCTGGTTTATAGGCTGAAGAGACAACTGGGTTGCCTAGGCTTTGTGTTCCAACCCTGTTCTTGGCTCACCTGTGAACTTGCTACAATTTCCCAGTTCCACTCCCCATCCCATCCAGGTAGGGATTTAAGCTATATTTCAGGGTGGTAAGGTGGGCCACTTCCAAAGGAACCCATCTCTTCTTGAAAACATTCAAACTGATGAGAAAGCAGAATTTTACTTTCAGGGCACTCCCCATGTAGTAGGTTAAATAGTACCCCACCCCCCAGCCAAATATATGTCCACCCAGAATATCTAAACGTGACCTTGTTTGGAAATAGGGTCTTTGCAGAGGTAACTAAAGTAAGGCTCAAGATGAGACCATCTAGATTGGGGTGGGCCCTAAATCCAATGACGAGTGTTTTTACAAGAGAACAGAGAAGGAGATTTGACAACACAGAGAAGGCCACGTGAAGACGGAGCAGAGATGAATGATGCCACCATAAAGCAAGGAATGCCTGGAGCCACCAGAACTGGAAGAGGCAAAGGACCCTCCCCTGGAGCATCCAGAGGGGGTGTGGCCCTGCTGACAGCTTCACTTCAGACTTCGGACCTCCCAAACTGTGAGAAGGGACCTTTCTGTCCTGTAAGCCACCCACTGTGTGGTCGTTTGTTGCCGCAGCCCCAGAAAAATGATACCCCATGGACACCCCATGGAAGGGTCTCTTCCTAGCATCTCCTTCAAGAAGGTCCATCCGCGTGGGACTGGATTTTTGCAAAACATGCTCTTGATGCTGTGAGTTTAATCCAGGAGCAGCAGGCTGACCTGCTGACCTCGTCTCTGCTGAGTTGAAATGAAACACCATCACACCTTCTTCCTTGGTGTCGAAAAATGTTTCTACAAGCTTCCTAATGATCACCTGCCTGCTTCCTATAACATATGGACTCCAATTTGGAAAAGTTTCAAAGGGCGATTAAAGCGAGAAGCTCTAGTACTCCCATGTCCCTCTCAGAAGGGAAGGAGCTGGGTGCGTCATTTACGTGCAGTGGTGTCTCCAAGGAGGGGCAGACTTGTGAGTAGGATCAGACACTCGATGTGGCCTCCATTTAAAGGGAGCCGACATTGGGACTCTTACGTAGCTGGAGTAAGAAAATGGAAACAGACGTGCTGTACTGGTTATAACCCTCACAGAAAGCTCTTGATCAGACTCAGAGAGCATCAGGGAAATTCTTTAAATCAAAAAACCACATAAGCCAAATAAAAGCTCCAAGCCCCAACCACTCCCCTCTTCTCACAGACTTTAATTCAGAAGAAAATTCTCTTTGCTGCCATCTCTGCTCCTCTTTATCTTGTTGTAATTGAAAGGAGAAAAAGTGGGCAGATTCATGGACTCGGACACTCCTTCCCGTTAAAGACTGTGCTTTGACTGTGTTATTGCCAGCAGGTCATTTTATAGAATTCCAGGAAGGAACTGGTTCCAGTGATCCACGGTGGGCCTTCTAGAGACAGAAGGGCTCCACAAACCCACCTGCCTGGAGGAAACTATACCCAAATGTCAGCCGAGGCTTATGGGCCTATTTTAGAAGATGAGCGATCCCCAGGCAGGCTCCAGCCGGCCTCCCAGGTCTGTGCCGTGTTTTTCTCCAGCTGCTCCCCTGGGCCTGGGTATGAAATTAGATGGCAGCCCACTGTTTACCCAGCTGTTGCTGGTGCCCAGAGCCCATACCGGGGCAGGCGGCGGTGCTGCTCAAAGGATATTTATTCCTTAACCGCCCAGGGACTGGGGGCAGAGCTGCGTACCCTGCTCCTGGAAACAGGCACCCTCCTCCCAGCTTCGCCCTCTGGGGATTAGAATGGCAGAAACTCTGGGACTAGGGAGGATCCAAATTTGGAAAGTATTGGCTCTGCCCAGCGGTGTTCATGCTCGTAATTTACGTCTTGGAAGTGATTTAATAACTTGAGTTTAATTTCTTTGGAGGAACATGGCAACAGCCTGAGCTCATCACGTCCCTCCAAGCCTTTGGCGACATTGTAATCCCAAACTGGCAGTGCTGGAGAAAGTGCCTAGACTTACTCTGGGCACAGAGGCTGGGGCGGAGGGGGGCGGTGCCCATGAGGGACAGAGGAAGTCAAGAGGCCCAGCACTTTGTCTAGGAAGTTTTACTCAGCCTTTATTTTATTTTATTTATTATTATTTCTTGTTTTGAGACAGAGTCTTGCTATGTTGCCCAGGCCGGAGTGCAATAACACGATTTCAGCTCACTGCAACTTCCGCCTCCCAGGTTCAAGCGGTTCTCCTGCCTCAGCCTCCTGAGTAGCTGGGATTACAGGCGCCTGCCACCATGCCCAGCTAATTTTTGTATTTTTAGTGGAGAAGGGGTTTCGCCATGTTGGCTAGGCTGGTCTCGAGCTCCTGACTCAGGTGATCCACCCACCTTGGCCTCCCAAAGTGCTGGGATTACAGGCATGAACCACCACCGCCAGCCTACTCAGTCTTTAAAATAAGGAGATTATGCAGAAGACACAGACCGTAGTACCAGACCCCAAGAGCAGGAAACGGCTGTCAGATTGGGTACACACCCGAGTGGGCTGAATGAACAGGCTCTGTCGGCCTAATCTGCAAGTGACTGCTCGCCAAGAAACCACACCTGTAAAGGTTAGGGCAGTACTCCCACGTGCTCGGCAACATGGCAGCTGAAATCGGTATAAGAAAGGAGATGGATTACAGGAGGTGGAATCCGTTACTGAAAGATTCTTGGAGTCTAGCGGTGATAGCTGCAGCTCACTGCTAACCGGGAGATTTATGTGACAAGATTATCAATGGTATTAAGCACATTTAGAAGAGAGGATTATACCTACTCCTGGGTCAGTTCTGTGCCACCAGGCCCTGTTCTGGCCAGCGTGTTAACAGATGGACTGCCGGCTGCATGAAGGTGAAGCTAAACATTTGCACAGTCACGAGAAGAGGGGAGGCTCAGATGATGAGTTCATTGCTGGGTGGCTAAGTTCAAATCCAAGGGAAGGATCTGGTTTTGGGTCTCTGCCAAATCCTAGGAAAGATCTATTTCCACCTCCTCCCTTTCTGCCCCCCAGGCTCCCCACCACCATGCCCACCCCTGCCAGCCTGCCCAGATTTTTGGCTTGGTGAACTCCCTCACCAAGGGGAGGGGACCCATATGTAACTAGAAGCAGGAGGGCGGTGTCGGAGGCTCCAAGGGGTGATAGGAAGGAAACAGTGCCAAGCCCACCAGCCGCCCTCCCAGAAACGAACTTCCAAGCAATAGCAGACTCTGCTCCAGAGAAGGAGAAGCACTTTATTTGCTCTACCACCGGGGAGAGTTTAAAATTAGACCAGGCGAAGCTCAGGAGGATATGCTGTTGGGAGCAGTTCTGGTGGCCTTTGGAAGGGTTGGCTGGGATGTGGCTGATGGGCTTTTTTCATTCCCAATGTTTAAGCCTAGCCTGGAGCCAGGACTATGCAGAACGAGAGCACACAGAAGGCCTCTGGGGAGGCTTAACTATCTAGGGACACCTCTCAGCCCTGTGTCAGGAATTGTTGCAGAACCCTTGAAGTAAGCAGAGCTTAAATGGAGTGTGACCTCAGAAAATGCTACTTAAAAAAAATTGTGGTAAGCGATACATAAAATAAAATTTGCCATTTTAAAGTGTACAATTCAGGGGTGTTTTGTACATTCCTAAGGCTGTGGGACCATCACCACTATCTAGTTCCAGAATGTCTTTATCACCCCAAAAGGAATCCCCATACCCATTAAGAGCAGCCTCCCCCCCATTCCTTCTACCTAAAAGCATTACTTTTTTTTTTTTTTTTTTTTTTTGAGACGGACTCTTGTCCAGGCTGGAGTGCAATAGCGTGGTCTCAGCTCACTGCAACCTCCATGTCCTGGGTTCAAGCAATCCTTCTGCCTCAGCCTCCCAAGTAGCTGGGATTACAGGCACCTGCCACCATGCCCGGCTAATTTTTGTATTTTTTAGTAGAGATGGGGTTTCACCATGTTGGCCAAGCTGGTCTTGAACTCCTGACCTCAGGTGATCCGTCCACCTGGGCCTCCCAAAGTGCTGGGATTACAGGCATGAGCCACCGCGCCCGGCCAGCGTTACTTTTTAAAGTAAGGATCGGGGGATGACCTCAGGAAACGTCCATTTAGCTGATGTTGGGGAGGGAGAAGCCCTTGTGCTTGAGCTTAGCCCCTCCTTGGTGCCCCTCAGCCTCGAGAGGGCTGCCTGCCCCTCTCCCTTAGCACACGCCGCATTGTAGTTAGTTGTCTAAATGCTCTCTTCCCCCCACGGGCACTGCCAGTGTCTGATTCCTCTCTGTGACCCCAGCTCCTAAAACAGCAGGGAGTATCTCGCAAGCCTCAGCGACATTTGTTGGCCGGAAGGATATAAAAACCAGTCATTCAGTAGCTGATGTGCTCCGTCTTATTGTTGGGGGATATAACTCTTTGTCCCAGAGTTGTCATACTTTTGATCCCTGCACAGAAAGAAGCAAACCCAGAGTAGGAAGAACAGGCCTTTCATGTCGCTCCTTTTAATTAGACGCCCTGTTAAATTGCAGCAATTTTGCACTGTGGTTCCCTCTCAGCGTGTCGAGAAGCTCTGAAGACGCTCTTAACCAAGGAAGCCAGGAGTTCATTTTATTCTTTTCCTCCTTATTTTCTTCCAAAGGCCAATTTACTTTTTTTTTTTTGGACATTTTGCTTTTTGCCGGTGCTGTTCGTTGATATTTGTGTATATAACAATGCTCCTTTCATAAAGGAGGTGAGCGTGGTGGAGTGGAATCCTCAGGGCCCCCCACTAATCACTTTTGATGGAGTAAGACTTGGAGAATCAATGATTTTGCCTTAGAGTCAGAGGAAATTTGCTGTTCTCAAGCCCTCGTACATGGAAATATAAGCCACCAGGAGAGCCCAGCCTCCCCCGGGCTACCCGAGTCCCCCCTCCACTGCCTGGCAGGAGCTGGAAAGATCAAAGGGACAGATGACAGTGCTTGGCGCCCATTTGTCACTCCATTGGAGGGAACCAGTTGCAGTGTTAACAGTCAGGCCTGGTCCCATGTTTCATGAATATTTGAGAATGTTTGCTGGCAGAATTCTAACTGCGCTGTGTCCTCCACGGCGTACGTGTCACCCATATTCCAGAGCCTAATCGGAGCTCTGGGGGAAGGAAGCACCACTTCTCCATTAGATTCCTTTATTATCCTAAAACATGCCTGCTAAGCGGTTCCGTGTCTGGGGTCTAAAGTCCGTGTGGTCCTTCTCATTCTTGCTCCTCCAAGAATCCTGACGCATGGGCAGGGAAAGTGTTTTATTGTTATGGACTAATAATTTAGAGGCTAGGGAAGGAATGGCCTTGTGTGCTGGCCTCGTTGTAACAATTTTTCTCATGTGTCTTCCAGCCTGTTCATCTGTCGCGTTTATTTCTAAAAAGTCCTCTCACCTGCCCTCTGCTGTCCTCAGATCCCATCCACGGCCCTCACCTCCCTCATCCTTCTCTGTAACCTCTGACAATTCTGGATGACCTGGTCCCCGCCATGCACTTTGGGCTTGCCCCTGCCCTGTGAGTAGCCTGACAACCCTGCACACACCCCTGGGGTGGTGCCAGTGCCTGCTCCTCCTCCTGGCCTCCCTGCCACCCAGCCCGGCATGAAGCTGAACATCGAGTGGGCCCCAGGAGAGAGGCTGAGTTGGTATGGCCAGGACTCTCCCTTGGCCCAGTGGGAAGGTGCACCTGCCCACTTGGGAGCAGGCCTCAGCACCCCTCACCAGTTTCAGGTTGCCCACTCTCAACAGCAGCTAAGTCAGAGCTCCGAGGGCTGCTCCCCACCCACCTTCAGCCTCCCAGGCCTCCCCTTGCCCGCCTGGGCCCTGGAGACACATGCTTCAGCCACAGGCAAGTCTGTTTCCCTTCCATGGGGTTTTCTCCACACCACAGCAGTGGTACCTCTGGGCTTCTCTCCCTGGCCCCTGCCCCAAGGAGCCCAGATCCAGTGTGGTGCTTCTTAGACTGTGGTCTGAGGCCTCCTGCTTATAGAACAGGCAGATTCCCAGACATTGCCTCTCCCCTAACCAAAGTTTATTGATTCTGAGTCTCTAGGGCTGTGGCCTATATTTGCATTTTTAACAATCTCCCTCGGGACTTTTTATGCACTGAGATTTGAGGCCAGGGTTGTTCTAGGCTGTACCGGCAGGTGGACTGGAGGCCACAGAGAAGAGGCAGAGTGAAATTGTGCCGGGCCTGGCTTGGAGCACCCACCAGCCCCCGGAAGACAAGTCTCACCCAGAGCTCTCCGGTTAAGCCTGCCGAGAGAGAGGCACCAGGAGGCAATCTCCACACTCTCAGACACCAGCCGTACCCAAAGATTGATGATTTCAGACACCGGGCCTCCCGGCCACATCCTCACTGCCTCACTCACGCGTCACACCATAGCTCTTGGTTTATGTGTTTGTCTCCTGGTTACACGTGTGTTCCTCGAGCCCCAGGATGCGTCTTATTCATTCTTCTCTCCACCCGCCCACTGGGGTTTGATATGTTGAAGTTGCTCAATAAATGTCTGTGAATTTAATATAATCAAATGGCTGAATTGAGGCAGAAATGAGCCAGGCGGCCTTTGCGCCCCGTTCCTGGGCTTGTGCCTTGCCTGCAGGAATGGAGAAAGGCCTGGCCTGCCTACACTTCCCCTGGTGAAGGAAATATTGATTTTGCTGTTTGTTTTGCAAGGAAGCTGTCCCCACTGGGACAGCCAGATCTAGAGCACATGAAATGGAAACTCCGAAGAAGGCAGTGCGCTGGCAGCTGGTCTATTAATAGGGCGGCCTGGGTGTGTCCAGGTGGAGGCGGCCCTGGGCCTGTGGGGCACCCTTGGAGCTGTGGCCTTGGGGACCAGGGTTATCCCGGAATCCCGCCACCCACCCACCTCGGTTTAGCTCCACTCCACACTGCTGTGGAGATGTGAAACGTGGCAAAGTCATTTGCAGGTTGCCTTTTCAGTGGGAGCCAAGTTGAGCGGCCTTGGCCCCAGGACCCCAGAGAAGATCTCCTGCCACCCCTGTTGGCTAGAACACAAGGGTCAGCAGACAGAAAGCCCATTTGGGACCTGCAGAGAAGTAGGCTTTTCCTCTCTGCCTCAGAGGAAAATCTGAGTTGAGCAAACAGTCCAACTCAGCAGCCATCTGGATGTTACATGGTCCAGAAGCTAAATCCAGCACTCTGGTTACTCAGAACAATTCTCTCAGGAGCCTTCCCAAATTTGGGACTCAGTGACCTTTAAAGGGGGTGCTAGTTCTGTAAGCACAGGGCAGGTGAGGCTGCCATGTACAGCTGTACAAGCTGTGCACTGAACAACTGTCAACGTCTATTCTGGGTCCTGCCATATTGTGATAACTTGCAAAGGCATGCAGCTGGCATCCTGGGAGAGCCCAGCCAGCCCTTCCAAAGGGAGGCTGCCTAAAGACCAGGAAATGGAGCAGCCAGCTGTGCTGGAAGGCCCAGTGTTCAGACACCTCACTTTACAGACAAAAGCAGAGGCCTAGAGAGGGAAGGGAGACGTTCAAGGTCACACAGCATCTATGGAAGAGCCAACTGCATGGCTGGGCTTCCTGGCCCCAAGCCCGCTCCTGCCCCTTGCCCGCTTTTCTTCTGTTGTATTCCTCTGATACTCTCTCTGCCCTGGGACCAGGGAGGGATGCAGCTTTGAAAGAAGCACACATTCTGAAGTTTTTTTGCCTCTGCCCAAGCAGAGTTCTAGCTTCTGGTTTTCTCGAAGGCCCTCGGTCGGGCAGGTCCTTCTCCCTGCTGTTTGTTCCAGCTCAGACCTATATGTTTTGTCCATTTCACGCTCCACCTCCTGCTCTCCCCAGATTGTTTCCTGTAGGTTTTGTTTTTGCATCTGCCCCTGCCAAAGTATGTGGGTTGACGTGGAAGACCTGAACACTCTGGGAGCCTTTGAAGCAAGGATGGATTTATTCCTTTCAGGCCACAGACGCCATGCCGAGGCCCTGGTTCCCCTCCAGACCTGTGCGAGGTCCTGAGCATGGCCCAGTGCATGCTAAAATCCCCACCCACACACAGAGGCTGCGGATCCATCCCCGAACTTCAGGGGCAGCTTCTGAAGTCCAGGCCACCTAGAACCAGGGTCCCTAGCTCCCCTTCTGGAACCCAATCCCCTACATGGCCCAGGACCCAAGCAAGGCAGGGAGAGTGCGCCGTGAGTCAGCAGCAGATCAAGTGGTCGTTTATTCAGCAGCGATGGCAGCCAGAGGCCCACATCCATGCATTCATTCACTCCATAGATAAGTGTTTATTTAGGATCTACCGTGTGCCTGTGCTGAAGTGAGAGGCCCTGATCGCCACAGACGTCCCTGCCGCTGGGAGCTCACATGCTAATGGGTGAAAGCCGATGACAAAATAAGTCAGGAAATCTCAGATGGCCCAACGACCCCCCTGAGAAATAAAGCAGGAAAAGAAGTCTGAGAAATAAAGCAGGAAAAGAAGTCCGAGAGCGCCAGGCCGGAAGGTGGGGAGCGCTGCGACTTTAAACAGCACACTCAGGGGACTCTGAGCAAAGACCTGGCAAGGTGAGGGGCAGCCATGTGGGTATCTGGACAAGCATGTTGAGGCCAGGGGTGAAAAGGAGCAACGGCCCTGAGGGAGGGGTGAGGAACAGACAAGAGGCCGGTGCCCTTGGGGCAATTTAGCTGTATCTCTCCGGCTGCCCTGCAGACTAAACAGGACAAGGAAAGAGCCAGGACACAGTCCGCAGGCTCCTGTGTCCTGTCCCGTCCCAGGCCAGCCCTCTCTGTGCTCCTGAGCCACATGACAGCTGCTTCCTGGGCAGAGCCTTGGGCGTCCACAGCACTTCAGACTCACTTCTTCCCCCACGTGACTCTTCACATCTCAGCCTCCCCCTGGGTTTCCTGATGTGGAGCCCCCATCCCAACCCCCATGTTCCCATCCGCATGTCCCTGACTCCTCCTGCTCCTTACCCCCCACAGCCAGTGACTACTCTAGGTCTGTCCATTCTGTTGTTAAACCTCTCCACTGTCCATCCTGTCACTGCGTCTGCTCGGCCACCGTGCTGGCCAAGGTCCTCGCCCGGTCTCCTCTGGACTGCTGTAAAACCTCCCATGGGTCTCCAGCACTCCATCCTGTCCCTCCAGCCTGCCCTCTCTACCCTCCAGAGACCCCCATCCACAATCAAGATAGAACTCGCCTTCCTCGTCGCGTTCCAACCTCATCTGCTGCCCACACCCACCCGCCCCTCAGGGCAGCCCCCCTGGGAGCGGTGCACATTCTCATGCTGCTCGTTTCAGCTTCTGCCCTCACTCCTTCCTCTTCCTTTATCTCCAGAAACCTGGTCCTAACCATCTCTTTCCTGAAGTCTTTCTTGCCAAGCCCGTTTAGCCTCAGAGCAGCTCCCCTTAGGACTGCCAAACAGGCATCTGCCGTGACTTGGAGCACGGAAGGTTTTCAGCAAATGTTTGTTGAATGAGTGAATGATGGGCTTTTCTTGAGCACCTACTGGAAGCGGGCTGCACCCACTCACTGCTGTGGAAATTAGAGACCCTCTGGAGGGGCCCATCCTCATCAGTGGTTGGTGGCCCCAGCTGGCCTGCAGCAGCAGTGGCATTCACAAAGGGAGCCAGCCAGGGGCACAGGAGCACGTCAGAAGCCCGGCCATCAGGCTGGTGACCCCGGCTCCAGGGCCCCATTAGTCCCAGGGGTGCCGATTCCCATCCTGAGCCCCTGGTTGCCCACCCAAAGCTCCAGGCCACTCTGACCCTAAGACCCAGGAGTCCTAGAGGCTGAGCCCTGCTGTCTCTGAGCTCTGCTTCCTGGAGCTGTTATTTGTGTCCTGGGGCAGCTGCTCGGGAACATTCTGACCTGGGAGCCAAGCAGGGACCTAGCAGTTGAGCTGCCCAGAGAGAGGCTCAGGGTCCACATGGCCGCAGGCCGGGGGCCTCTCCAGGAGCACAGAGATGTGTGCAGGCCCTGCCAGGCTGGCTGCAGCCTGGGTCTCCTCTGAAGTCAGCCCTGCTTTGGGGTCGCATGGAATTTTTAGTGCAAAGCAAGAATCCATCCTCTTTCCATAGTAGACCTGACAGGGATGTGGCTTATCTGCCCAAAAGAGAGGGAAGAACCAAGAGCTTGCAATGACCTTGCTCCTTCTCAGGGACAGCCAAGAGGACAAGATTCTTTATGAATCTGTTGAAGCAAACAGACCATCTCCTGGCCCCCAAAGGGGAATGGAAGTCCCGGTGACCTTCTGCAGGTAAGCTGGTGTCCCCTCCCTGCAGGCACGTTGGTCCAGGAACTTTACACTTGACCCAAAAGCCTCTCTTGAGAGATTTCCACCATTTGGTTTTGTAGGTCTTTAAGACTTTTCCCAGCTACCCCACTGGTCTTCTCAGGGCTTCATTGTTCTCTGCTCGAGTGCTGTGGTTTGTGTCCACCGTGGAGTCATGCAGAAATTAGCAAGCAGGAGCGGGTGGGGATATTGAGGTCCTAGATAAGTTGAAGTAGACTAGAGATGTCCTTTGGGAAGGGGGCCACCCCAGCTCCCGGGAGTCCTTGGGCTGGAGGTTGTCAAGCAGGCTGGAGAAAGAACATCTTTGTCACCAGCGTGCCTCCTCTGGTGGCTTGTTGACTGTCCAGGACTTCTAATGTGATCCTGAGGCTCAAAAATGAAGAAAATCAGTCACTGATCCCAATGTTTTATTTACTAACCCTGTGGATGCTTGGGAGCATTCAGACACTGGAAGGTTTGGGTTGGATTTTTCACATTCTTTTCTGTGTGGAAGAGTGGGGGTGGTCATACAAGAGGGGTGAAAACAGGGCCTGCGGTGAATAGCTGCACAGCCCTTTTACTCTCCCCAAGCCCGGTCTCCAGGCCTATGTGTCTAACAGATGCATCTATTCAGTGCATCTGTTTGGTGCTGGTGCTTCTGGGTCCCCTTGGACAGCAGAATGTGTATGGGTCTCCCTTTCCTGTGGGGTGGTTCCTCTCACCACTCCTTTGGGGCAGTGGTGCGGAGGAGAAGTGATGGAAGGACGTCAGACCCCTCGGGGAACGTGGGGTCAGGACCAGGGTGGTCCAGGGAGCCTGCTCCCATCTACTGTGCCTTGACACCTAAAACCCAGCTGTGAAATGCAGTGTCTTCACCTCGGAAAGCCCTCCCAGGGGCTGCCCTTACAGTTTAGATATCTCAGCCTGCACAGCTCCAAGGCAGTGAATTCTAAGGGAGGACCCTCATTTTACACATAAGAGGTGGGAGGGCCAGGGCACCCTGTGGCCAGGCGTGTCGCCTACGTGCTTGTTGTCCACAAGCTTTTCCTTCAGGGCCCCTCCCTCCCTGATTACACAGAGCCCGGGCCTGGGAGAAGGGTCTGATCATTTCCCTGCCATGTCTTCTCTGTGAGCCCTTGTGCCTCAGTTTCCCTGCCTATCAAACAGGAATAACCATCTCTTCCTCGTCCACTTCACAAGGTAGTTATGAGACTGAAATGAAAGGCTGGGTGTGGCAGCCCTTGGAGGAGGGGATTTAATGACAGGGGTGTCGAGGAGTTGATTATACAGCAGAGGTGGGAAGGTTCTGTTTTCTCTGCCTGGCGCGTTGCCTTGTTTACCAGACCGGCCTTATTTGGGAGTGCTCCGGGGAGTCGCTGGCTTCATGGAACATGCAGCGATTTCATGGTAAAGCCGGGCACTCAGAGGTGGAGGTGTCACCATCTGGAACCAATTCGCGTTTTCCTGAAGTCTGAGGCGCCCGCAGACTTCCTGCCCGGCTCCTCCGGGCTCTGGAATGGCTCCCACCTGGACCCAAGACCAGGGACATTTCGTTCCTCCTGGATTGTTCTAATCCCAGACACTCAGGAGCTCACCCCCGGCCAACACCAGTGCCCTTCTTCGCTGACTTCTTTTCACCGTGTTTCTGTAAACACATTAAAAATGGCCTTCCTGCATTTCAATTCTCCATCTCTCCTGCCGTTTTCTCTGTCCCCTGATTTCAGCCTCCAGGATTGAAATTCTTTCTCCTGGTCTCCATGAGGAATTGGTGAAACAGAAAAAGCAGGAAATTAATGTCCCAGCCTCCAGGCTCCACAAAGCATTAGATGGAATTAAAGTAGAATAATGAGTCAATGCACACACAACTCTGTTGTTCTTTGACTTTTCCTTTCAAAATTCATGTAGTGAATGCTGCTCCCATTCTACATCATCTTGGGCTGGGAGACACACTAGTGTCCTGAATGAATTTACATACCAAATGGGTTTTAATTTTATATTTTTGCTTAAGGTCAGGACATTTATTTATTATCATTATTTATTACTGAAGCACGAGTGGTTTTAATTATTTTAGTGTTCCTCCTACAAAGCAGGATAGCTGCTAGCTACAGACCATTTTCCGTTTCCGCTCACATAAATAATATAGTTTTTAATTTCATGAAGATTTAGTATTCGTGTGCTTTGTAAATTAAAGTCATCGTTTACCACAACAGAGACGGAGTGTTTGGAATATCCTGGTGGACTTCTCTGTCCATTTCTGGAGGATCACTTTTCCTAACTTTGGTTCTCTGTTGCAGGCGCCCAGAAAGAGGCACCCGCAGAGGGCCTGGGAAGGGAAGGGGCTGTGGGGTGTGGGAAGTGGCTGTGGGGTGTGGAAAGGAGAGGGGAAGGAACCCTTCTTTCCTGCAACGTCATTTGCCTTTCCATGTATTATAATCCTATCCCGTTTCTCCCACAAAACCCTACCAAAGCCAGCATTTTTGTCTCTGTTTTACAGAGAAGGGAACTGAGGTCCCAGCATGTTAACTAACTTGCCCAAGATCACTCAAACCCAAGTGACAGGTTCAAATGCTGATATTCCTGACCCAAGGCATAGCCCTTTGTTCTCCTACCTGCCCTCTCTGTGCCAAGGCTTGGGAAGGTGGGCAGATGTCTCTGCACAGGCCTGGGGCTGGACACTGGCAGAGGTACAGTCAGCAGTAGAAGGATGAGAGATGGACGCAGAGAAGGAGTGGGCAGGAAGGGTGGCAGGCAGCGGGCACTGCCAGGCTGTGGTGTGACTGTGTGGGTGCAAGTAGAGGGGAGCAGTGTCCTGGTCACTTGGGGGGCAGAGGACGTGACCTCCTAGGAGGCAGTGTCCCCAACACACAGCCAGGGGACTCCATCTGGACACCCTGGAGCCACCAAATCTTGCAGACTGCCCTCTGCAGGTCCTCCTCCATCCCTTCCCATGCTGTCTCTCCACCAGGATCCCAGCTCTCCCAGGGTGGCTGCTAGGCCAGTGAATTGTGAGCTCCCCACGCAAGCAGCATGCCCCTTCCAGACACCATGACTCCCTGTCTGTAAATCACTCTCCTGCATCCCCATCCCATCCCCAGCTAGTCCTGGGCGGGCTTCTTCCTCAGAAGCATTCCAGAAGGTTTTCACACTCCCCGTGGTTTGTCAGGAGGACACCGTTTTGTGGCATTGGGTCCACATTTGCTGCCAGCATAGCCTCTGGAATGCACGGCCTGCTTGGGGTTGCCATGGAGAAGCTGGGTCTGTTGGTGGTTTGAACTGAGCCGCATACAATAGAGCACCCTCGGCAGCCAGCCGGACGGGCAGGCCGGGGGCGGGGCAGGGCAACAGCCTTGTACCCTGCTGCCATCTGCTTTGACCCTGCCAGGCAGCTGCAGCCCTATCCCTTAGGGTTGTTGGCAGATTAAAAATGTAGTGGATTTAAATCATGCCCACCTCATTTTGCAAGGGTTTTCTTGAGTTCTCCTCCAGGCTTCAGCTACCAACACGCCCCTATGAGTCTCTGTCTCCGAGCAGAGGTCTTGGTGTCCTGGTGGCTGCATCCCAGGGGAGAGGAAGGAACCCGTTTCATAAGCGCACTCACGTTGGAGCAGAACAGAGTCACTAGGAGGCTCGCTGTGATTTATCAGGGGCCATGCCACACTGTCCTTGCACACAACGTGGCTTAAGTCTAAACAGAAAATAGACCTCACGCTGAGTCATCCTTCTCCATAATGGAAGATGAGATTGTGCTGGCGGGAACACATCATGTCTGGGGACGTATGCTGCCATCGTGGGAATGTGCCTCTTTAGCACGCCTTTAACCCCTATCCTGCAAGCATCTCCCTCTAAATGAGGGCGATAGGAAGACTCCGATGCTGGGGCAGAGCCATCTCTTACACACAACGGCGAAATTATTTTCTTCATCTCAGAAACAGGTTCCCCCAGGAGGACATAAATAAATAAGGGATTCCTGGTACATACTTTACCCATTTTTCAGATTTTCCTCCTTCTTACTCATGGCACTCATGTAAGTGCTACTTCTGGAGTGGTCCCAGCCAGATAGGTGCCTGGGGATACAGGAAAGCTCAGGGCTGCGTTTAGAATCAAATAGAGCTAATGGTGAAGTCTCTTCCCACTGAAAAGAGAAGCAAAATACTTTTCAGAGCTGGATCGCTTGCTGCTTTATATAGAGGGCTCTGCTTTTGGGGGACAAGCTCTCTCTGAAACCCAGGCCCACATATTTTATAAGTGTTCAGGGAAGACTGTCTTTTAAAAAGGTACAATTAGGCAGGCATTTGCTTATCATTTTTCCAATATAATAGGTAGAGAGATTGAGGTCACATCTCTGGGAAGAGTCTGATGAGGGCATTGTTTCCTCTGGGCCAGGTTGCAAACTTGCTACGTGTCTGTTCACCCATCTCGCTCTCAATCTATCTCTCTCTCTCTCATATATATATATATGTGTGTGTGTGTGTGTGTGTGTGTGTGTGTGTGTGTATGTATATGTGTATGTATATATATATGTGTGTGTGTGTATATATATATATATATATATATATTTTTTTTTTTTTTTTTTTTTTTTTTTTTTTTCTGAGACAGAGTCTCGCTCTGTCACCCAGGCTGGAGTGCAGTGGCACAATCTTGGCTCACTGCAACCTCTGCCTCCCAGGTTCAAGTGATTCTCCTGCCTCAGCCTCACAAGTAGCTGGGATTATAGGCATTGTGCCACCATGCTTAGCTAACTTTTGTATCTTTAGTAGAGACGGGGTTTCACCGTGTCGGCCAGACTGGTTTTGAACTCCTGGCCTCAAGTGATCTGCCCGCCTTGGCCTCCCAAAGTGCTGGGATTACAGGCATGAGCCACCGTGCCCGGCCCTGTTCACCCGTCTCTAAAATGAGGCTCTGTAAGGTTCCTTCTAGCCCTGACATGCTCTCAGTCTAGGGAAGGAGATGGGGAGCTCTTGTAGGTTCTTCTGCAGAGAAGATGCATCTTCCTGGTCCCCATCCCCGACCTGTGGTCTTTCCGCAACCCTGCCCGTTCATGGCCTCTGGGCTGGTCCCCCTCACTCCTCCATCTCAGTGGGAGAGATGCACAGGATGCCTCTGGAGCTGGTGCCAGGAGTAAGGCCCCCTTCCCATCCAGGGAACACTTGGTTCTGCAGGGCTTGGAGGCATCCGAAAGTCAGTGAGAGATGAGGCTGGGCCGCTCTGAAGTTCAAGGGTTTGGAAACGGTGTCCTGGGTACAAATAATAACCAGCCTGAGTACCTAAGAGGTTGGTAATAAGAGGCACAGTAATAATGCCTGGCATTTATTAAATCTTTACTACCTGCCAGGCATGAGTAAGTGCCTTGCACATATTTTGCATCAAATCCTGTAGGGCAGGTATTATTATCCCCATTTTAAGATAAAAAAAAACCGAGGGTTAGGGAAGTTCATTTACCAAGATCATTTGCAAAGTAACTGATCTTGCAAGATGTTGAAGTCAGGTCCCACTGACTTCAGGACAGAGTGGAAGAGTTTAACATCCTTGTGTTTGCCTCAAGCAAAAAGGAAAATTCAGATGATATTCATTGTACTGCATGTGCGCACACTCACATATACACTGTGCACAAACACACACACACCTGCCCTGGCTGTTCCCTGCCAATCACGTTCCCTGGTGCACAGTGCCTGCTACAGCCATGGACAGCTGTGTGGAAGTCATCACCACATAGTCACAAAAAGAACTGATCACCCCTCTCCAAGGACTGATCACAAGTTCACAAGCACAGTGGGGTCTGCAGCAGAGAAGACTTCCAGGCTGCTCATCCAGAGCACCTGTCTGCAGCCCCATGGTGGCCCAGGGGAGGGCTTTAGCAGAGGCCAAGGCTCCCTGTGTTTTGCTTATGACTGGGAGTGTTCATCATGCGTGGCCCCTGGGCTGTCTTTCTTCCAATAATGGGATGGAGCCTGATAGTTCCGAGTGGCCAGCATTGAGATGAGGCTTGAGGGTCTAGAACTGCAGTGTCTGTGTCCCCCAAGTCATAGGGGTGGCCCTCTTCGGCCCCAGAAGGCTGGGGGTAGAGCAGTGTGGGCAGTGGAAAGCCAGGCTTGGCCCGGAGCCCCATGAAGCTGCCATCGCCCAGCCCAGCTTGCATGAAACAAGGGCCATGGGAAACTCCAAGATTCCTGTCCCAGGCATTCTTTCCTATTTAAGGAGTATTTTTTACTTAAGCAGCTACTTTGGAGCAGACAGGGGCAAGAGAAATAGAGAATGGTAGGTTTCTCAACCTCAGAGGATGATGAAGATAAATGCATGTCCCGCAGAATCATCTGAAGCCTGCGGCAAGGACTCTGGGCTGAGCTCCAAGATACGGGTTCAAGGCCCGTGTTGCCCCCAGCCTTGCCTAAGTCTCTTAGCATGCCCTGGTCCCTGTTTCTTCATTTATCAAGTAGGGAAAGTAAAATAGCCCTTACAAGTTGGTGTAGAAAATGTCAAGGAGCTCTCCAAATGAGGAAACCGGGGCTTTTCTCATCCGTAATAACAAGAAGAAAAATTATAGAAGGAAATGTCTGTTTAGTTATATTTTCAACTATCATTGACTCCTAAAGTAGTGAAATATCTTTGAATAGATATTTTAAAAATATATACCTAATATAATGAAATATAAATATTTTTCTATATTACATTCTATATAAATATTTACTATATTTAATAATTTATCCTTATATGACATGTAAATATTTACATATATAAATATTTATGTACTTTAGTCCATGTGTGTACATATACACAGACAAAACACATATGCATATGTATTTTGGAAAAGTCAGAACAAGAAGAATTATAAATGAAGATATTGGCACTCAATAGCATGCATAATTTTTTTCCTCCAGCATTTTCGGTTCCGTGGATAGGGAGTGTGTGCATTACTGTTTGTAATTTAAAGACAAAGGAAACATGATCCCAGCTTCTTTGTGTGTGCCCGCCCGACGCCACGTCCCTCCTCCCGTGCCTCTGTCCGCATGCTGGTTTACATAGAGTAGCTCTGGGTCAGCCATGGCTGCCTGGGTTCCTCACTCCAGGGTCCTCCTTAGGATGTACCCCAAAGGCCCAAGCCCCCCATCCCCCTTTTCATTCTGCAGGGTGTGCATACACACGTGCAGGAGATACGCCACACTAACCAGAAGCTTGCTCCCTGTTTAAATGTGAGGCTAGGGTAGGAGGGAAGAGGACATGTATCCGCATATGTTAGCTAGAATGCAGCCCAAGCTGGAGGTTGGTGACACTGCAGTAATTGGAGGTAAGAGCTGTGAGGCCATTCAGATAAATTTTTGACATAAAAATGTAGGCTGGTTCATAAAAGGTTGCAGTGACAATAGGTTATAGTGACAGCTTTTCAACAATTTTCTAAGCCTCCGGATGGAAGGGGACTCAGCATAATGAATTATGGGTGGTCTGGACAACATGGTATCCTTTCATAGGCATGGATCTAAGGGCAGAATAAAGTTATCCAGGATGGCCCACATTGAATAACACTGTTGTTAAAACATGGACTGGAGAAGGAGAGAAAAGATTAGATGCTTGAAAGACTCAGCGACTGTAGCTGCAAGGCCTTGGTCTTGCAACCTGGGCACTGGGTGTTCGCAGCTCCCATCCTCCAGCGTAATGAGCACTTCATCTGCCAGATTCTAGGTTGAACATCACGCCTGTCTGGCAGGGCTCCCGGGCTTTCCTGCAAAGGGGGCGTTGTTCCTCTACCAGCTCAGCTGTTTGTGCGGTTTTGCCCTTTTGATTAAATTGCCTCTATCAACTCCTGGATGGGACTTGTGGGACCCTTCTTAAGTGGATGTCTTCTGGAGGGGAGACTATGCCAGAAGGAAGGGGGCTCAGAGAAGGAGTGGGACCCATCAGGTTGGGAGAGGGGAAAAGCCCTGGCTCCCACAGAGTCCTCTCTGCCAGAATCCACCCTTCGCCTCTGATCAGGTACTGGCTGCTCAGTCAGAGAGCAGAAGCAGCCACCTTTGATCCTGTCTTTACTTAGGTGAGAATAATAACAGCCAGTATGATAACAGAATGATAACCATCACTTGCTGAGTGCCTACAGTGTATGTGAAACTACATTAAGCACTTTGTATCATCTCATGTAAACCTCACAACAACCCTGTGATGTAGGTATTGCCATTCCCGTTTTATAGAGAAGAAAACTGAGGCCTAGAGAAGCTAATCTGCAGCTCACAGATGTTCAAATAGTTTGGAGTTGAAATTGGGGTCTATCCTGCCCCCAAGTTTGCGCTCCTGGCCACTGATTGTGTTATACTAACTCCTGAACACTCACGCTCCAAGACCGCACAAAAAGGCGTCGTCAAAAGGGGAGAAGAGTTTATGAGTGTCTCCCAGGACCATTGAGGGGGCCCGGCAAGTCGGGGTACAAGATTTGCTCAGCCGAGAAAATTCATTTTAAGTGGGTTTTGGGTGGGAGTAAAGCGTCCTTGGTAGTGAAATGTCTGTATTCAGTGACTTCAAGCTGGGCTTGTGAATTTATATGAATAATTTGTTAATGGCAGTTACAGGAGTTGAAGTAATTTACGTGGTCATAAGGGAGTAAAATTCTGCCCTGGAATGTGCATGTGTATTCAAGCCTCCCCCTCTGTGGTTTGCCACAGGAAAGCATGGCAGGTCTGAGGTCTTTGGAAGCCTTGCTCATGATTGCAAACGAGACCAGGCCAGGGTCTGTGAGAGCTTAGCCATGCACCCAACCTCATTGTGATGTCCTGACATCTTCTAGATTGCAAACATCAACGTGTTCCTTTGCATGAGACCACTGGGGTGGGAGGGTTACTCTTAGCTCTGAGATACCCAGTGAGAAGCGTGAGGGCACCTTCCCCACTCAGTAGTGCATCTGAGGTTGGTAGGTTCCCAGGCTAGCCCACCACACTGACTGACATGATCTTGTCTGATGGAGACCCAGGGGTTTCCATCCCACATCCGAGCATGTTGTTATTCATGCCCCAGCCTTTGCACAGGGCCGTGCTGTTTGCACACCAAGCCCTCCGCAGTGTGGGGGTGGTAGTGGAGGGCTCAGTTAATAGCTGCTGCTTTGATATCAGGCTGTGAAGGACACTCTTGGGGCTCTGGAGCCAGGGGAGGACAATTGACGGGGGCTGAGGCAGGGCAGAGGGAGCAGAATCCAGTGGCTATGGCAGTCACTGCCCTGGAGAAACTCACGAAGGGGCAGGGGACACAGCAAGGGTCCCCCAGTGCATCCCTGGTCCCCCTGTGCCATGACGAGCACAGAGTATCCACTGCTCATTTTCCCCAGAATTTGGAGACAGCCAGAGTGTAGGGCCTTTTCATCCTAACACACAGAGACAGCCCGTGCCCGTCGGCAAGACATGACGTCGTTCCTGTGCCTCCCAGAGCATCTCCTGAGTCATCCGTCCCAGCACCCCCCTGCCCCAGGGCCTGCCCAAAGCAGGCGTATTGTGTTACCCTTTCTCCTTGCGCTTTTCTTGGTAACAGCACTGGCTGCGGCTCCTGCACAGAGGCCTCCTGGAGACATTCTGTCCTGGTCGGCCCCAAAGGCTGGCTCTGAGTCAACACGTCCATCCCTACCCTGGAAGCTCTTCCTCACTCTGCCCAGAGTCCTGTGTGAGGCCAGTGGGGAACTTTTAGGAAGCCACAACAGGGGTAGGGGGTCAGGAAAGCTGTGACTGTGGCTTAAAAGCAGGTGAATGTCCCTCCTACCCAAGGGACAGCTCCAGGCAGCTGCTCTACGTGAATTTTTTTTTTTTTTTTTTTTTAAGGAACAAGGTCTTGCTGTGTTGCCCAGACTGGTCTCGAACTCCTGGGCTCCAAGCAGTCTACCCATCTCAGCCTCCAAAAGTGCTGGGATTACAGGCGTGAGGCACCACTCCCGACCTCTACATGGGAATATTCTGTCCTCACGGTCTGAATCCCGGGTCAAGGGAAGACCTGGAAGTGTATGAGGTTGGCTCTCAGGTGCTACTCAGGCCCAGCCCAGGGGAGCCACACCCCATTGGCTCAGTGAGATCAGGAAGCAGGAGAGGGTCTGCTCAGCCTAGGCCAGCTTGGACTTGCCAGCAATTCTGGGGCTTCATAGACCCCTCTGATTTCTTAGGAAAAGACATCACAGCTCTTGCCAATCCATGAGTCACTGAGTATGGCGTGAGCCACCCTCTGTGCCCAGCCTGATGGTGGGCAGTCTGGGGTGAGGTCAGGACAATGCCTCTCTTCAGGGTAGGTCAAAGTCAGGGAAGTGACCCCCCACCCCAGGGCAAACAAGGGCTCAGGAAAGCAGGTTTGAGGTCAGAAGTGAAGTTGGACAGCCTTCCCTGGACCCTGGAACCGTGAGAAATGCCCACCCTGTAGGAGTTTCTGTAGCTGCTGGAGCCAGAAAAGGCAGCCAGAGGTAGGGCCTCAATCCAGAAACCCCGTTCATCCCACGTGGCTGGATCCCACCTCCAACCAGCAGTCAAGGTGTTTCCTGGGCTGGAAGATGAAGGCTACAGCGGCGGCAGTCAGGGCTCTGACAGCAGGAACAGGGGCATGTCCTCTGAGTTCTTGGGGGACCTCTGCTGGGCCCTGAGCTCTGTGTCTCGGGACAAAAATCCCAGATTCCAGAGCTGAAGGCACTTCCCAGGTTTCCTACCCAGCCAGTTGCTTTCCAGGTGGGGTCTGAGGCCCAGGCCTTTTGAAAGGCCCTGGCACGTTTGGAATAAAAATTCTGAAAGTGCTGATTTTCTAAAAGAGGGAGATCGAGGAGGCTGGCCGGGAAAGCATACCCTTCCTCGGGTGCTGGAGCCCAGGAAAGCCGTAAACACTGTGAGTCCACATCCCAGCCCTTCCCTGTCTCCAGGCCAGTCCAGCATTGTGTCCAGCCCTGGGGAGCAGGCCAGGCCGAGGAGCCCTGGTGGATTCCATCAGAGGCCCTGGTGCAGCTGCATTCACGGTCCAGCGGGAAAGGAAGGCTGCACTCAGCCCATCCCCGAGTTCAGTGCAGGAACAGCTCTTACGGGGTCCCCACTGGCCACCCAACATTGTCCCCGTCTCCTCCAGAGGGACTGTGCCCAGAGGAGGTGCCCAGATTTGTGGCGAGGTTGACCATAGCACCATGAAGTCGGTTCTGTGAGCTCAGGCCTGGGTACTGGGTGCACAGTTCTAGTGTGGGTCTGGTCTTCAGTGCTCAGGGTCTGGGGCAGCCCCCGAGGGGACCGTGTTGCTATCCAGTGTGAAGCATCTAGACAAAGGACCATTGGACAACTGGAAGATCCTTTCTTTTTTGTTTTTTTATTTTTTTTATTTTTTTTATTTTTTTGAGACAGAGTCTCACTCTTTCGCCCAGGCTGCAGTGCAGTGGTACAATCTGGGCCTCCCGAGTAGCTGGGACTACAGGCGCCCGCCACCACGCCTGGCTGTATTTTTAGTTGAGACGGGGTTTCACCGTGTTAGCCAGGATGGTCTCGATCTCCTGACCTTGTGATCTGCCTGCCTCGGCCTCCCAGAGTGCTGGGATTACAGGCGTGAGCCACTGCGCCCGGCCTGGAAGATCATTTCTATTCTCTATAACTGAGGCAGTTGCTGCTGGTTACCGGGCTTGCTAATAAATGGCCCCACTGGGACGCAAGTGTCACAGGGGGAGAGACTTGACAGTGATGAAAATGACTGATTTCCTGGGAGACAGCATTCCCTCCAGCAGCAGCAGGAGCCCTGGAGGTGGCCTTGGGGGGCTTTTCCTTCTGGTTCTGACACTACCATGTCCTGAGAGCTCAGGCCCCTGGAGCACTGAGTGCCCATCTGCAAAATGGAGAGAGAGCAAGTCACTTGGAGTCATTTTAGACCATCATAGATCTGAGCAAGAGGCAGGGTGAAGACAGAAAGGAGGACCTTCTGAGGTTAGAGGGGACCCCTTCCCTGGAGGTGGTGTCCTTACCACGCCTCTCCAGTGCCTCCTCCTCCCTGCTCCTTGCTGCCTGTCGGCCTGAGGTCCCCATCCTGACCCATGCTTCCTGCCCCCCAGCTGTGGGCTGCAGCCAAGGCCAGGGAAGCAGTTGTCCCCTCAGCCGTTTGCAGTACAAGGGCCAGGCCCCTCTGATGGGGAAATAGGAAGGGCTGTTGGGAGGGTCCGCTGAGCGCCCCAACTCCACCTGGCCCTGCCTGCTAGATCAGGCCTGATCTGACCTGCCACCGCCTTCCCTGGAGTAAGGCCTCAGCCACTGGGAGGGCAGCGTGGCCCTGTTCTTTTTCCTTTGTTGCTTTTTTTTTTTTTTTTTTTTTTGGAGACAGGGTTCACCCTGTCACCCAGATTGCAGTGCAGTGGCACCGTCTCAGCTCACTACAACCTCCGCTTCCCAGGCTCAAGGGATCTTCCCATCTCAGCCTCCTGAGTAGCTGGGACTACACAGCCAGCTAATTTTTTAATTTTTTGAAGAGACGAGGTCTCACTATACTGCCCAGGCTGGTCTTCAACTCCTGGGCTCAAGCAGTCCTCCCACCTCGGCCTCCCAAAGTGCTGAGATCACAGGCATGAGCCACCACACCCCGCCTACCTGCCCCTTATGGAGCGACTTCCACGCGGCTCTTGTATCACAGCTGAAGGAGGCTTCATAGGGCCCAGACCAGGCCTTCCACAGAACACAGCCCCCGGCGCCCCAGGAACTGCGCATGGTGAGGGACCGTAAGAAGCCCTTGCCCTTCATCTTCTCTCAGTTTTTGTTGAGCTACAAAGTCGATTTGGTATATTTTCAGAACATGTAACTCCTTAGTGATTAGACTGCCCATGAAAATAGACACATATCCTAGCCTCTAGGCCCAAAAGAAAGAGGAACTATAATAAAAGCAAAGAAGTCATTCAAGCCCTCCTCCTTCTCAGGTGCTTAGCACACGTGAAATCCTCCAAATCCTCAGGAACTGGGAAAACCGTTTTTTTTTTTTTTGAGACAGGGTCTCACTCTGTCGCCCAGGCTGGAGTGCAGTGGTGTGATCTTGGCTCACTGCAACCTCTGCCTCCTGGGTTCAAGTGATTCTCGTGTCTCAGCCTCCCAAGTAGCTGGGATTTTAGGCACCCACCACCACGCCCGGCTAATTTTTGTATTTTTGGTAGAGATGGGGTTTTGCCATGTTGGCCAGGCTGGTCTCGAATTCCTGACCTCAGTGATCTGCCCACCTCAGCCTCCCAAAGTGCTGGGATTACAGGTGTGAGCCATGGTGCCCAGCCAAGGGAAAACCTGTCTTAAAGGACAAGTGAGAGTATGGGAGTTTCAGGTGGGGGGATCATTCCGTGAGCTAGTGTGTGTGTGTGTGTATGTGTGTGTGTGTGCGTGAGAGAGAGAGAGAGGGAGAGAGAGAGGGAGAGAGAGAGAGAGGCAGAGAGAGAGAGAAAGGAGAGAGGGAGGAATGAAAAGAGATGATTGATTCCAGAACGTTCCCGGGCCTTGCACACAGCCTGCTCAGGAAAGCTGGAAGGTCCTCCTCCCAGCCGCTCTGCTGCTGGGTGCAGGGGTCTCTGGCCTCCTTTGTTTCACGTCCCTTGTGTGATTGCAAGGCGCCCTTCCTGTGACTCACTGTGTCCTTGCCTTTCCCAATTTCCAACTCAGTTTAGCCAAGGGATCTAAGGCACGGGGTTAGGCACTGCCTCAAAGCATCTTAGGAATCTGCCCAAAATTCCGTGTTCATCCTGACCGATTTAACAATTAAAGGATCACTTTATGAAATTCCTTGTCTTATAAACGCAATTAGCAGTTTTAATCTCCTGAGGGAACAAATCATTCACTGCTTGATGGGAGTTGGTTTTATCAGAGAATTTTGCTTCTAAAGTTAAACTGAAATAAAAGCAGAGGGGAAGAGGAGAGTCATTTATGGGGCATCTGAGGGCAGCTCAGGGAGAGCAGAAGGGAGCTTGATGCTTGCAGAACCCACACTCAATGGCAGGCACTGTCCTAGTCCCTTAGACACCCTTAGCTAGGGCTTATCTTAGCCCATTCAGGCTGCCATAACAAAATACTGTAAACAGGGTGGCTTAGAAACAACAGAAATGTATTTCTCACAGTCCTGGAAGATGAGAAACCCACGATCAAGGCACCGGCCAATGTGGTGCCTGGTAAGGGTTGGGCCTGGCTCATGGACAGCACCTTCTAACTGTACTCCATGGTGGAAGGGGCAAGCTCTGGTCTCATGAGCCCCATATGAGGGCACTAATCCCATTGGTGAGGGCCCCACCCTCATGACCTAATCACTTCCCTAAGGCTTCCCCTTCTCATACCATCACACTGGGGGTTAGGTTTTGACATGGATTTTGAGAAGACACAAATATTTAAACCACAGCAGGGCTCTGCCACCCACAGACCAGGAGGTGGTGACTCAGAGAGGGCCTGCAAACTGCCCAGACCACACAGACCAGGAGGTGGTGACTCAGAGGGGGCCTGCACACTGCCCAGACCACACAGGAGCTCAGAGATCAGCTGGGGATTTGAAAGGTGGTCACTCTGACCCCAGAGAAGAATCTCTTCCCACTGCCCCAAGCTGGGAATGCCAAAGGGAAGATGGGATTGAGAAGCAGAGGGGATGCAGAAAAGGCTGCCCAGGAGAACCATTAGCAATCCATTTTGGTTTTTTAGTCTTGAACCAAATGGAAAAGTTACTTTTAATGAAATATCTGAAATCCAGTCATACCCTATCTTATACATATTTGGGACTACATTCTTTAGAGCAGGGGTCACCCACCCCCACAAACCAGTACAGTCCATGGCCTGTTAGGAAACAGGTGCACAGCAGGTGAGTGGCAGGCAAGCCAGCATGACCACCTGAGCTCCATCTCCTGTCAGATCAGCAATGACAATAGATTCTCATAGGACCGTGAACCCTATTGTGAACTGTGCATGTGAGGGATCTAGGTTGCATGCTCCTTATGAGAATCTAATACCCGATGATCTGAGGTGGAGCAGTTTCATCCCAGAACCATCTCCCCACACCCCCAGCCCCATCCATGGAAAAATTGTCTTCCACAAAAGTGGTCCCTGCTGCCAAAAAGGTTGGGGACCACTGCCTTAGAGAGCTCTGAACTTGTTTCTTTTGTGAGCAAGCCTCTGTCATCATGTGAACTGCCGTTCCCCCAATTTATATGTTTAGTCACTTTAGATTCTCTCACACTCATCTCTTTCTAGGGACCCCGGAATTGTCCCAAGATGAGGAAGGAGGGAGGGCGGGAGGGTGATTCTCCAGCCTACAGGTAGTCAGTAGTTGACCCAAAATGTCACCTTTTGTTGTCCACACAAAGACAGTAATTTCCATCTCCATTCCCAGCATGATGGGAGGGAAAAAGGAATGCACAGAAGTCATTTGGAGGAAGTTCCCACATACAGAAGAGAGTAAAACTTTGTCTGTAAACATGAAAATAACAGCATCTGCTGGTGAAGTTTTGGTCTTTTATTTTGTGTTCTCCTAAACATATCTATAGCTTACTGTCTGTACCAGGAACTCCCACGCGCCTGTGAGGTCTCTTGCCTGTTGCCCTGACTTGCAACTGAGTATTTCATTTTTGTGTTCATCCTTCTTCCCCTACAAGACTGCAGTCTCCTTGGAGGTAGGGCCCAGTCTTTTTTTTTTCCTCTGTCTTATCTTCTATGCCTGGAATATCGTAGGAGCTCAGAAAATGTTTGTTGTTTTGTTTTTATTCAAAGTTAGAGCTATAATTCACAAAATACACACCTCACATTTACTCTGTTAAATTCTTCCTTTAATTGAAATGCATTCATTTGGAGAAAGCGATGCTGATAGGAAGCAGATAACTGGAGAACCGATGATTTTCTAAGTGCTGTGGGCCCCTTAGGATGTGAATTACAATATGGAGCGTTTAGATACCAAACCCATTGGGGGAGGCACTGAGGATTATCCATTCTCGCACAGAGCACTCAATACAAACCCCAACTCATATTAATTAAAAATTCTAAATCACACAATTGTTTTTTTCTACGAATACTTATATGCTCTGTTTTATCACCATTAATAATAACGATAAAGATAATAATAATAATAAAACTACTGTGTGATTAAGGTGCAGATAAGCAATTAGGAAATAAAATATTTACAGGTTTTTAGGGAGCCCTGTGCTCAGAATGGGAATAGGATAATTACAATGGAGGTTTAGTATGAGAGCTCATTCGAGAAGATTCTCCACTGAGAGTTGAAGTCAGTCACTGGGTTCTATTTTGTCTGTGATTCTATCAACCTGTTCCCCTGATATCAGTCATTTAGTCACTCATTCATTTGACACAGATGTATTAAGTGTCTCGAACATGCCAGGCAGTGTGCTAGATGCTGGAACATGAGGGTAAATAGAACATTCCCCACTCCTGTGGTCTAGGGGTGGTTATGGCATTACAGCCAGGAGGGAGATGGCCTGCAGTGGCAGGGCACTGTGTCTAAGTCGAGGACTATAGGATGAGTTGGAGAGCTCCAGGAGAAAGTGTGGGAGAGAGAATTCCCTGGAGACGCCTGGTGAAGAGTTGTAAGCTTGGTGCTTGTGAGGACTGAAAAGTCATTGAGCCCTTTCACTGGAGAAGGCAGCAATCAGAGATGAGCTGGAGAGGTGAGCTGGGACCACATCCTGAGGGCTGTGGGGAGCCACAGATGGGTTTTTGTGAAATAGAGAGCAGGTGTGCTCTTCAGAATGCGCCCCCCTCGGCTGGTTGTGGAGCGAGGGAATAGGAATCAAGGATGCCTGTGTGGAGCCGGGTGCAGAATTTCATGATAACCGTGGCCTAGAGATGGGTAATAGTGAGAAAAGGGGGAATGGGGGGATTTCAGACATGCATGACAGATGATGATAATAATGATGACAAATACATAATACGCTCTTACCATGTGCCAGAGCCTACTACAAGCACTTTGCGTGTTTATTTGGTTCAACCTTCCAACAAAACCCGTGAGGTAGTGACTTATCCCCATTGTATGGGTGAGGAAACCCAGACACAAAGAGATTAAATAGTTGGTGCAAGACTACACTAATCTAAGTAGCAAATGGGAATCAGACTCCTGTTTGGATGTGAACCCACCCCTGACCCCCCACTTCTTTCCAGAGCCCATGGTCCACACTACTGTCTTCAGTGACATGGGGGTACGGGAGGTCCATTACTCAGGTAGGGAGGGTAGGCAGAGCAGATGAGTTGCTTTTGTGACACATACCCCTGACAGTCCCTCAGGGATCACATGGTATCAGAAGCAGTGGAGAGTCCTCATCCCTGGCTGGCCATCTCCCCCACCCCACAAAGCCCTTCCTCCCAACACTTGGAAATAAAGCCTTTCAACTGGATGCTAGTAGTCAGGGACTGTCTTGGGGTGGGATGGGGCGATACTGCTGCTGGGTCTGTTGGGCCCATGGCCAGGCCTCAGCTCCAAACTCAACTCTTGCTGGCCTCTCGGTACTGAATTGCACCTTGCTGTATTCGTTCTGGTGTGCTTTGGAGAACCAATTGATTTCCCAGCTCCCTATCTTGTCACTATCTGAGTGAGCTTTTATGGAGAATCTGCTGCTCTTTGAGAAGTTTCATGGACATTTTCTTCATCTTTTCCTGGAATGAAGTTCATAAATTGGTGCTTTAAGAGGCTTGGTCCGGAATGAGCTGCAGGGAATGGCTAGTTTAAAGACGTGGTCATCTCTCCTCAGTTCCGCACTTCCCCATAGGCCCTCTGTCTGCATTTTCACTGTGGGACTTATGTGGCTTCTGACTCTGAAATTTTCAGTTTCATCAGTCATGATCAGCAGATTGCCTCTTGCCATCACTCCAGACTTGTCCTTTGCAAGGCTTGGTCCTGGGACAAGAAATAGCCCTGTGTGGTGGGGCGGGTGCCCTGAAATGCTATGCAGAAAGCCTGGGTCCTAACTGTGTCTCAATTCACTACAGAAACTGGGCCCAGATCACCTTCCATTCTGGACCTCACTCGCCCCTGCAAAAGTAGAAATGCAAGTTCATGTTGTTGGATAAATATTTGCAGCAGTAAAGTAAGATAATAGATTCATGTATTTATTCACCATTTATTAATCACTTATTCTGTGCCAAGCACAGTTTCAGGTGCTTTGGTTAGAGTAATAAGCAAGATAAACAAAAATTACTGCCCACATGGAGCTTACCTTCAAGTGGATGGAAAGACAATGAATAAGTAACAAAAATATCTAGTATGTTAGATGGTAATAAGTGCTGGCGAGTTCCATGTTCAAAATGATCAATGAGGAAATGCTGACCAAGCCTTCTGTTGAAGATAGTTAGAAAAGCAGGTAGTGTCTAATAACCATTGTCTTGAAGGCATTGGAGAGGTAACAAGACACGGTGAGCTGCTATTCGATTCGGGTCTGGGAAGCACAGAGGCCCGTGGAGGTAAGCCTTATGCTTACAGCCAGTTTTCCTCTAGGAGTATTTGGCAGTTCTTAAGAGACAGATGAGAGCTGAGCAGGGCGCTTGACAGCAGGCTTGCAGGGTCAGAGGACCAGGATTGGAACCCAGAGTCTGCCAAGGGGGCCAGTGGGTTCCAGTGACCCCTGTACTTTCTTTGGCCTGGGACTCTGAAGGGCTGCACACTGGGCCCTCTGAGGAGCTGCCTCTCTGCTTCAAATCCTCTGGGTTCTCCAAAATGAATTAAGGTGATCCCGTATTACTAGTATCCCTAGGTGCCCAGCAGAAGCAGACAAATAATCTTAGGAGAAAGATACCATCTTGACCTCAAATTATTTCTAAAACAATGTGCAAAGGTAGAATCTGTAACGTAATTTCAAAAATAATCAGATACAAGGAGACCACAATAACAAATATCAGTAGAAACAACAGAAAATAGAAAGACCCATAGGGGTTCCAGATATATTGGAATTCTCAGACACAGACTTTAAAATAACTCTGCTTACCATGTTCCAGATGTTAAAAGACCAAAATTGGAATTTTCAGCAGAGAACCAGAAACTATATATCTTTTTAAAAACCCAAATGTAAATAACCACATAATACCCCAAATTAAGAATTCAATGTCGAGTTTAACAGATGCAACCAAAAAAAAAAAAGGATTATGAACTGAAAGATTGATTAGAAAAAAAAATCCACCTTAAGTAAAGAGAGACCAGAGAAAAAATGCAAAAAAAGGCGGGGAGGTGGGGCAGTAGGAGTTAAAATGAAAATGTCTAACACACGTATAATTGGGATTCCAGAAAAAGAGGAGGAAGAAACTGTGTCAGAAGCAATATTTCAAGAAAATGGGTGAGAACATTTCTAAACTGTTGAAAGATATCAAGTCATAGATTCAAGAAACACTTTACAAGCAGGATAAATGAAATCTAAACCAAGGCATTCAGAGTAAAACTGCTGAAAATTAAAGACAGAGAAAAATCTAAAAAGCAGGTGGAAGGGAAAGACAGATTACTTTGAAAAGTACAATGACAAAATATATAACTGACTTCTCAATAAAACATTGCAAGTCAGAAGTCAATGGTGTGATATCTTTAAAGTGCTAAAAGAAATTGCCAGCTCGGAATTCTATACCCAGTGAAAATGCCCTTAGAAGAAAGAACAAAAATAAGATTTTTTTAAAAAGTTCAGACAAACAGTGAAATAATTTGTCACCAGAAAGCCTGGCTGGGTGTGGTGGTTCATGCCTGTAATCCCAGAACTTTAGGCCGTGGCAGGTGGATCACCTGAGGTCAGGAGTTGGAGACCAGCCTGGCCAACATGGAGAAACCATGTCTCTACTAAAAATACAAAAATTAGGTGGTCATGGTGGTGAACGCCTGTAATCCCAGCTACTCAGTAGGCTAAGGCAGGAGAAATTCTTGAACCCGGGAGGCTGAGGTTGCAGTGAGCCAAGATCACACCATTGCACTCCAGCCTGGGCAACAGAGCGAGTCTCAATCTCAAAAAAGAAAAGAAAAGGAAAGAAAGCCTGCACTGAAGGAAATCCAAAAGTACATTTTTCAGGCAGATGAAATTAATTCAAAGCAAAGGTTAGAGTTTCAGGAAGCAATGAAAAGCAACAAAAAATGTAAAAATAAGGCTATAGATAAATAAATATCAATTGTATACAAAGATAAAAAATCTCTTATGAAACAACATATATAGAGAGAAATAAATGCAAAAAAGGCTTAGAAATGGGGTGGAGAACAAATGAAATGAAATTATTTTAAGGCCCTTGAATTGTTTTAAGGCCAAGGAAGAGAGTATAAGTATCAATATTACACTTCAATAAGTCAAGGATGAGGGATGTAATATCTATGGATATTACAATGAAATACAAAATACCTAATCCAAAAGAAGACAAAGGAGAAAAGAATAAAAGGAACACAGAACAAGTGAGACACAGAGAGCATTAGCAAAATGATCAATTTAAACCTGAATACATCAGTAATTACATCAAATGTATATGCTCTAACCAAAAGACAAAGCTTTTCAGACTGAAATTTTAAATTCTCACTCTATGCTATTTATAAAAAACACATTAAAAGAGAAAAGGTATAGAAAGATTAAAGGGAAAAGGGTAGAGGAAGGCAAAAAGATATACTATGCATAAAAGCAGGTGTAGCTACATCAGTATCACACAAAATTGACTTTAAGACAAGAAACAATACTTCATAATTACTATTTTTTAAAAACCCATCCTTGGCCGGGCACGGTGGCTCGTGCCTGTGATCCCAGCACTTTGGGAGGCTGAGGTGGGCGGATCACAAGGTCAGGAATTCAAGACCAGCCTGGCCAACATGGTGAAACCCCATCTCTACTAAAAATACAAACATTAGCCGGGGGTGGTGGCACGCGCCTGTAATCCCAGCTACTCGGGAGGCTGAGGCAGGAGAATCGTTTGAACCCGGGAGGTGGAGGTTGCAGTGAGCCGAGATCGCGCCATTGCACTCCAGCCTGGGCGGCAGGGCAAGACTCCATCTCAAAAAAAAAAAAAAAAAAAAAAAAAAACCCACCACTCTCAGCTCACCAGGAAGATACAACAATTGTACGCATCCAAGAACTGTGAAAGGAAAATAAATCTTGGGACTCCAAAATCACTAAGCTGAAGGGAAAAGTCAAGTTGGGAACTGCTTAGAATCAACCTGCCTCCCATTCTATCCCTTAAAAAAAGATAAGTACTAAGATTTTAAAAACAAGCTACATACCTCCCTCACAAGGAATTTCCTTGTGGACAAAGGACAGATAGAACTGAAAGTCACCACTCTGCTCACTGAGATAGATGCGTATCTGACGGCCTCCTTTGGAAAGGCTAATCAGAAACTCAAAACAATGCACCCATTTGTCGCTTACCTACCTATGACTTGGAAACCCCCTTCCTGCTTTGAGTTGTCCCACCCCTTTCCAGGCAGAACCAATGTACATCTTACATATATTGATTGATGTCTCATGTCTCCCTAAAATGTATAAAACCAACCTGTGCCCTGACCACCCTGGACACATGTCATCAGGACCTCCTGAGGCCGTGTCACTGGCATGCGTCCTTAACTTTGGCAAAATAAATTTCCTAAAATGAGACCTGTCTCAGATACCCAAAGGGTTCACAGAACATAGAACATAGCCTCAAAATATAAAAGGCAAAAATTGACAGAACTAGAAGGGAAAAAATGAATTCACAGTCACAGTAGGAAATATTTAACACATTCTCTAAACAACAAAACAAACAGACAAAAATAATAATAATAAAGGTATAGAAGATTTGCAAACACAATTAGTAAACATGACAACGGCTTAGAGAATATTGTACATAAAATCTAGGGAATATGCGTTCTTCAGAATCACACACATAATATTGATAAGTGCAATGGAGAAAAATGAATAAGGAGTGTTAGCTGTGAGATTTGAAATAGTAGGGTTCGGAAAGAGCTCTCTGTGGTTGCCTTTGAGCAGAGACCCAAGGAGGTAAGAAAGGAGGTCACTCGGGTCGCTGATCGCTGAGGGAGGAACATTGCAGGCTCCAGGCTGAGGCAGGGTGGGCTGGTGTGTTCAGGAAACAGCAGGGACCGCAAAGCCATCCGGTGGTGGGAAGATGTGGGCTGTAAGCCCCCAAGAGAGGGGCGCCCTGGGCCCTGGGCATTGATGATGGGAATGGAGTGTGCTGCTCCCTGCAGCCCCAGGTCAGCTCCGCCTCCAGCAAAACAAGACTCCTCCAAAGCCCGTTCCAGCCATCAGGTCCTTCTCTCCCTGTCTGCTTAGCCCTCTCCCTAGAACCTGCGCTTCCTTTCACAGCTCGGCGCTTCTTCCACGTCCTATCCAGTTGCCCTTTCAGGAAAGACACTGAACCTGGTGCCTGGGGAGCACGCACTGTGGGTCTGCGATGAGCCAGGCCTTCTCCTGGGCTTCGGCTTATCCTCACAAGCCCGGGGGCAGGCTTTGTTATTAGCATTTTGCAGATGAGAAAACTGCTGCCTCGACTTCTGCTCTTGTGTAAATGCAACCTCCTCCTAGAGCCTCACTCTCACGTCCATTTTCACTGAACCGGGTGCTGCCAGGGACCCCACTTCCAGAGGAGGTTGCTGCCTCCCCAGCCACCCTGGGACCATCCAACCTGGGATCCTGAGACACCCTGAGTCGTATCTCTGGGGCCAGAGAACAAGTCAGGACACTCGGAGCATCTCATGTGTGTCTCTGCTGCAGGGAGCTCTGAGTCAGCCTGTAGAAAGGGGTGCGGTGGCCAGGGAGGACGTCCCCGGGCTCTGTGTGAGCCGCACTGCCTCTCACGGTGGACCTGCGAGCCGGGCCGGAGCACCTGCACTGGTGCTCTGGGCGGAGGGAAGTTGCTGAAGTTGCACTTTCCATGGGCTGCCCACCCCAGCTCCTGGGGCCCTCTGAGAAATCCCATTATTCCAGTCTAGGGGGCTTCACATCCCCAGACCCCTCATTTGCAGCCTGATGGTTATGCACCTGTTAGGGTCACTGCGTGGACACAGACCGTGCTGAGGATGTCAGATTAGAGTGAAGTGACCATGACCTTGTTCAGCTGCGCCAGCCTTCCTGCACGTCAGCGTCGCTGTTCCTTTCTCATCAGCACAGCCAGTGCCTATGTCTGTCCCCTGTCAGATGAAAGATGGCAGATATTCCCTCCCCAGACCCCCTCTGCTTCTCTTTTGGGAATCAGGCTCACTGTGGCCTCTGGGCTTCCAGTTCTGGTGGCCTTGATCCCTCCTCCTAAGGGACCCAAGGGTCAGTCCCCTTGGAGCTCTCAGCAAGGAAGACCTCACTGGACCTATGGGTCCTGGCCTGGAGGGTGGACCTCTCTGCTATTGGCCACTGAGCCAGGTCTGCTTCTGCCATGCTCCCCTAGTAGCAGCCTGACCATGAGGTTACACCCCTTACCCTGTCCTCCCACACTCCAAGTCTGCCTCTCCCTCCTCAGCCTGGGGTTCTGTTCTCTTGAGCCCTACAAAAAGTTCATACTCAGCCTGGGGTTCATTCTTCTCTTTAATCCTGTGACAGAAAGGCTGCGGAGGTTGTGGGAGCCTTGTAATGCTCATTTTACCTAAACTAACCTTTCTTAAATTGGGGGAGCCAGGGAAAGATGAAAGGAGAAACACGCACACACACGGCAATGTAAGTTAAAGAAAAAAACATTTACCAAGTCTCTAAATGTTGTCCTCGCCCCGCATCCTATTCTGCTGAATAAAGAAAACAGAGGTGACTTCGGGCTTTTTAAAATCAAGATTTTATTAAAAAGAAACCGTTTCAATCAAGCAAACAATTCACAAAGACATTTTCTAGAATAGTGAGAATAATAAAAACCATCATTTTTGGAGAGGCCGATTCCTTGCCAGAACCTGGGGTCATGGGCTTGGCACCCATCATTCTTGCGCACCCCATGAACTGTAAGAGAGATCTTATCCCTTTCTGGAAATGAGCGAACGGGTTCAGAGAAGTCTAGTGACCTGTCCAAGGACACAGAGCCCCTGAAAGGTAGCTCTGTTGTCTGCACCAAGTCTGTGTGACTCTGGCACCGTTCCCGGGGTCATTCACAGCAGGGCCCCGCTCAGACCTCGGCGGGCAGCGAGAAGAACACATGGAGATTCTGACTTCCAGCACAAAGGGGCATCCTGCCTTGTGTTTTTGTTTCCCATTTCTGAGCATTCTCTCTGAATTACAGCCGTGACCGCCGTATCGCAGCGTGTTTGCCCAGCCCGGTTTGAGTTGTAAGCTGGTGAAATAGAAGAATCCTTGTGAAAATATGAACACACTTTTATTTACCAAAGGTAAATGAAACCTTTCACTGTTCTGAAGGGTTTCCATTTTTCTGTCTTTTGTCTCCTCCCTTTGATTACCCATAACATTAACCTTCAAACAACCTGGCAAATCCGAGTCTGATTTCCCGGCAGCCTCCTCCTTCAGCCAGGCAGGGCACCTGTTGCAGGCCCTCTTGGGATCACCAGGCAGAGAAGCTTCCCTGTGCTTCACACCCACTCACGCCTGTCCCCCCGTCCTGGGGGAAGGCAGTTCCAGGCTGGCCCATGGTCACTGTGAAGCGCTCCTACTTAACAATGCAAGTAGCCATCCCTCTGTCCAGCTGGCTTTGACGAGGCTCTGCCGCCGCAGCTTCTTGCCCGTGGCTCTGTGATGGGGAAAAAAGGAAGGAAAAATGCGTTCCATGCAGGGCCTGTCACTGCCGTAGAAACAGCAGTATTATTTTCAGGGATGTTGCGTTAATAGGGGAAGGCTGTTTCTTGGAAAATACTGCCTTCAAGTACTGTGACTCTTTTCAGGTTATATAAAAGGGCATTAGGCAAACACTCAGAAATTCAGCAGCTTCCTTGGTTGGGAGTGTGGAGGGTGGGTGGACCAGCTCCTGTGCACCTCCAGCGGCAGCCACGCAGAATACGAATTGGCTGCAGTTACCGTCCTCATCAGCCCGCAGTCTGGATAGTATCAGCAACAGGAAAGGTTACAGCTTTTCCTGTGATGTATTGCTTCTTCAGAGAGTATTAAAGATGTTTTGAATCTATTTTTTTAGGAATCTTGAAACCACCAGTGGAACATTTTTGCTGTTGTGGGTAATGCACAACGTAGCAGCGTAGGAAGGCCGGGCCGCGAGAGGGAACCGAGGGTGTTGGAAGCACCGAAGACGGCGTCCGTTGTCATTTTAACAGTGAGGAAGCAAGTGAGGCAGAGCATATGCTGAGGTGTGGAGCAGCTGCGACTGGGAAGCGTGTTATTTCTTTTATTTGCTGGGGGGCGGAGAAGAGGCAGACACCGCATCTCCTGGGAGTGGGCAGGATTTATTTATTGGGAAGGGAGTGCCAGAGGAAAAGTTCCGTCATCATGGAAGGAATTCTCCAGCCCTGCTTAGTATTATTGTTTGGGCCTTTATTTATTTTTTTTTTCCTGCCTTGACACTCCCTGCCCAAAGCACAGATTCAAATAAAAATTGTAGCCAGAGCCAATGTCTTTGTAGTAGATGGTGGGACAGTGAATTTTACATGTCAACTTGACCAGGCCACAAGGTGCCCAGGTATTTGGGCCAAAGATGATCCTGGGTGTGTCCGTGAGGGTGTTTCTGGATGAGATTAAGATTCAAATCAGTAGACTGAGTAAAGCAGCTCGCCCTCCCCAATGTGGGAAGGCCTCATCCGATCAGTCAGTCGGCCTGAACAGAACAAAAGCTGACCCTGCTGTAAGTAAGAGGGGTTTCTCCTGACCGCCTTTGAGTTGGGACATTGGTCTTTTGCTGCCTTTGGACTGGAACTGAAACATCCGCTCTTCTTGGGTCTCAAGCCTGCAGGCTTTTGGACTGGAACTATACCAGTTCCCGCTCCTGGGTCTCCAGCTTGCTAACTGCAGATCGCGGGACTTCTCGGCCTCCATGGTTACAGGAGCTGATTCCTTATAATAAATCGTATATTATATATATAATTTCTATGCTATTAGTTCCGTTTCTCTGGAGAACCCTGGCTGATATAGAAGGCATCCATTAAGGCAGGGGTTGAAATCTTAACATCTTTCCTGAACCCATAGCTTGATCAAGCTACCTGTGTCCTCTAGGAGAAGAAAGGGTGACTGAATCCCAAAGTATTTGGAAGGAAGCCAGAGAAAAGCTCTGCAGCCACCACTCCTCTCTGCTGAGAACATCAGAGGCCGTGAACTGTGTGAATAGAAATGAGGATGCCTTGCCAGACAGCCCCCTTTACAGGCAGATGCTGGTCCTTCCCCTCCAGGGGAACAGGGCTTGGAGCACAGATACAGGCCTGGCAGCCACAGGCCCCTCGGCCCAGGGAAAGGCAGCCTCTCTGTTGCAGGTGGGAGGCTCCAGCTACAGCCTCCAGCCATTGCTCCCTAGACGTGGTGTCCACTCCTTGCTCACCCCCTGCTAGAAGGTAAAGGAAAGCATACATGAAATGCTTTTAAGCAGCAGGTCTGTGACTCTTCCTGCAGCAGGTGAGGCTCTGAGCTAAATATGTCACACCTGGGGTCTTCTGCGGGGCTGGATCGAGAGCGGGCTTCTCCTGCAGTGTGAAGGGTCTGGTTCCAGCCTGGGCCGCTGGGGAAATTTTGAGGGTGGTGGGTGTTCTCAGAGGGGTCTGGGGCCTCACAGTGATTGGAGAGTGGGGAGAAATGGGTGAGGGAAATGAGTCCACTCATGGAGGCCTTAGCTGTGACTCCTTTTGAAATCTGAGCATCCCAGGGATGAGGGCACTGACACTGATGTGAGGAAATTAGGCCCCAGGGCAGCCGAAGCAGGCTGTGCCCATGATAACAGCAGAGACTGCAGCCTAAAACTCTGAACTGACTGCTGGGGTGCAGAACACAGGGGAGAAGCCTCCTCCCCTTTGGTGAAAAATCAATGTCTGGTGTCAGGACTCCCCTATTAACAGCTTGATTAGAAAGGACTCAGAAGTTCCTTTGCCCTGGAATTGCACCAGGAAAAGAGAAATGGAAGCACGTCTGGGGCGCTGGTAAAGCTAGCAAGGGCATTAAGTCCAGACTGCTTCATCCCAGCCTGTTAGTGCCTAGTTCACACTCCCAACTTTTCCTGAACACCTACTATGTACCAGGCCTTATCCTGGAAATAAGGCATGGTCTGTCCTCCAAGGAATTCATAGTATAAAGTATGGGGTTGAGCAAATAGGACTTAGAGTCCAGTAGCTCATACAGGCTCCAGGGTTTCCTGTGGGGCATGCTGGGGAACCAGGGGAAATGCATCTGACCCAGATGAAGGGAGGCCAGAGAAGGGAGCTGTCAGGGGAGGCTTCTCCGAGGGGAGGCCACTGAGCTGAGTCCCTGAGGATAAGATGGAGCGAGCCTCGGTGAGGGGGCCCAGTGGACACACAGAGGCCAGGCTTAGGCTGATGTGTGGAGATTGGACGCAGCAAACCACATGAGGGTGCTGGCAGAGCATGAAGTGCCAGCCCAGGGGTGGTGAGAGGGGGCACCAGGAGGCCAGCGGGGCCCATCAGGGAGTTGGCACTCGATCCCTTCGACAATGGGATTGGAAGGTGTTAGGGAGGAGAGTGACATGGTCATATTTACATTTTAGAAAAAGAACTGCCTTGCCACACAAAGAACAGATTCAGATAGACACCCCAGGTGACACTCCTTGGAGGTCAGGAGAAGGCAGAGGTGAGGGTCAGGGAGGCCAGGGCTGCTAGAGGAAATATTTAGGAGGGCATCGGCAAGGCTGCTGGGGCATGGCGTGGGGGGACAGTTAAAGCCAAGTCCCAAATTCCTGCTTTAGGAACAGGGTGGTGAGGCCAGCTCTGGGACAGAGCATACAGCAGAGGGAGCTGACCCAGGATGGGGAGGGAGAGAGCAGAGGCCAGTCCGGGACACACAGAGTGTGAAGTGCAGGCAGGACATCCAAGTGGAAGCGTCGAGTGGGCTTGTGAGCATCTGGAAAGGTGACAGTGATGTGGCAACTGGGCAACAAGACCAGATGCAGGAACAGGGTCCCCATCCAGAGGTGGGAGAGGGAGGCAGGAGAAGAACGTTCCAGAACCCGGATAAACATCATTGAAAGAGAGAAGGCCAAGCCCGCAGAGCCGGGTGTATAAACAGGCCAGTGTGTGCTGCCGCGATGGGAACTCCAGCATCCTGCTGGCTGGAGCGCTGCTGCCACTCTGACCAGTGCATTCTACCCACGGGGATGACCCCGCATGGGAAGCCGGACTCCCGTCATGAAACCAGTGTTCAGGGAGCCAGGCGGAAGGTCTTTCTCATTGCTCAGGCTGGCAGCTTGAGGCACACACTTCCACCGCAGGAACATCCTTGGCCGGGGGACTGCAGTGCTCCAAGCCCCGGTCCCCTGGCAGAGAAGCATTTGCCTGTGAAGAGGGCTGGTCTTGGAAAGCGTCCAGTCTATGGGGCCCAGTTCTCACCCAGCAGCAGCAGCAGCAGCAGCTGAGGAACTCTACAGCAGAGCCCCAGGTCCCACCCACAGCCTTCCAGAGCCAGACCTCCCAGGGGAGAGACTGGGGAAGCCCAGCCGGACTAAGACCTGCTGCTGACTTCCATCTGCTGATTCTCACATGAGGCCTAGCAGGGAGAAGCCTCTTGTCCAGGTTAGCTCAGGCCTCCTGAGTCCCTGCCCTCCTGAGCACGTTTGGCAATGGCCTTGGCAGGGGCTGAAACAGCAGTAACTGCAGTTAGGAGCACCTAGGAAGAAAAAAGGAAGAGAGGAGGGTGAGGAGAGGTAAGGGAGGAGAAGACAAGGAGGAAGAGGAAGAGCTCAGGAGGAGGAGGAGGAGATGAGGGGGAGGGGAGGGGGAGGAGGAGTACGCTCAAGCCCTGGTGCTAATGGGACAGACCCCCCAGACAGGAAATGCAGACTGGAGAGAATGGAGGTGAATGGAGATGCCGAGCCCCCAGGAGAATAAGTAAGGGCATCAGTATATTTCAAGATGAAGAGAAGGCGCTGCCAAAATGAAGTGCAGCAGAAAGCTGCCCCTCTCCACTTTGGGAGTGCCCAGACAAGCTGCTGTGTGCACTGGCATCAAGTGGGCACCAAGGGGGGTCCAGCATACCCTCCTCCCTGTGGTGGTCAAATGCAGCTCACCATATCCAGGCGTCCAAATAGGGGCAGCTACCACATATCCCTGGGAGCGTGAAGGTGGAGACACTGGCCACCAGTATGACAGCTTGTGTGTAAATGTATGTAAGAACAGGACACGTGAGAGAGAAAGTCTGGTCCAAAAGGCAGGTGCACAGTGGCCCCCACATTCATCCCCTTGGGATGTGCTGGAAGCCAGCTGGGCACCTGCAATGCACATCCTTCCAGCACCCTCTCATCAGGCCTGGGACACAGGGAACTGTGATTCTCATTTTGTAGATGAGGAAACTGAGGCTCAGAGACATTAAATCCTTGCCTGGGGCACTCAAGTAATGAAGGAACAGGGACTCAAACCCCTCACTCTTGATGCCCTGTTGTTCTGACCCCCAAAGGCATCACATTCCCTGTGCCCAGCACAACACATCATCCCCTCTGTTCATGCCCACACCCCTCATCCTGAAGTCAGGACTCAGCCCCCTCCTCCAGGCAGCTTTCCTGGACTCACAAGGCCAGGATAGGCCACCACCATCCCGCTCACATCACAGCATGTGATCTCTCTGAGTTGCACCTGTTTTCTTACCTGACTCCACCGATCTGATCTGCTGGAGAGCCGAGCCTTTGTCCTACCTAATCACAAAGGATGGACAAATGCGAATGATGGGTCCCAAGAGGGACGAAGCATGGAAAACTCCCACTCGGGACCCTGGACCCTAGCCATCTCTTCTGGACTCTCCCAACAACAGGAGTGACTCCTCCCAGCCCTGAAGTCAGTGCAGGGCTTCCCCTGCCTGGAATGCTCAGTCTTTCCTTCACAGCCCAGCCTAAGGCCTGCTCCTCATCCCTGCACTTGGGGGCCTTTAGGACGCCCGCTGAGCATTCAACCGGACGCCAGCCATCTGCATGGGTAATAACACAGGGAGCTTCCACATATAGCACCCACGTGTTCCAGGCATGGTTCTAAGTCCTTTGCACATATTAGTTCATAATTCTATGGTGTAGGTACTTGAATTATCTCTGTTTAAGAGGTGAGAAAAGGAGGGCATGGAGTGGTCTGTGAGCTTGCTTGGCTTTCCTTACTTGAAAGTGGCAGAACTTGGATTTGAACCAGGCAGCTGGGCTCCAGAGTCCTACTCCTACCCACTCCCCTGAGTGAGAAACCTTGTCCTGCCCTCAGGAGCTCACAGTCCTGGGTGAGACAGGCTTCTGCACGGTGACATGAGGAGGTGACAAGAGCTGGTCACAGGTGGACCCAGCGTGCAGGGGAGGAAGCTGTCCCACCCTGATCTCGGGTCTTAGACGGGACATGTCTCATGTGAGGTGGCCTGGGATGTGCTGGAATGTCTTTCCTTCCCCACCCTGGGGACCTGGCAGGTCCCAGGTTCCAACGGACCCGACTCATGGTGCCCAGCATCCCTCATGGACCCTACAGTGCTGGCCTGTCCCCTGCAATGGCGATGAGCCCTGGGAGCCATGCACCCAGGTTTACACGTTAGTGGCAGGAGGACAGTCCGCTGTCTGGGGAACAATATGTTTGCCTGCCCCTTGTAGGGGGAGCGAGCTCTGTTTTCTCCCTCCTGTAATTGTTACCATCTGTTTCCCTCCATCATGTTTGTTGATGTTTTCTTGTTTTAAAACTGAAATGAGTCAGATTGGAGGCTGATTTAGGAAAATGTATCTGGGAGGAAAGCTCAAAGTGGCCATGGGGGACTCTGTGTTCTGGAGTCATCGGAAAAGAAAAGATTCTGTGGGGCCAGCCGAGGGGTGTCTGCCAGCTACTCCTGCCCTGTGGGGGCCGGAGTCCCCCCGCAGTCCAAGAAGGCTGGGGCTGTGTGGGTTTCTGTGGAATGCATGTGTGTGGGCTCAGTTATGTAAGTAGGTGAGTGGACATGTGCACACTTGTGCACCTGTGTGATAGTGTGTGCATATGTGAATGTGAATGTCATCCCGGGAGTAGGGTTGTACAGCGTGGACTGTGTGAGTGGTTGGCATCTTGTATTCAGAAGGAGGCAGATGCAGAAGGAGAGAGCTGCCAGCTAGCTGTGACCAAGTTCTGGGTTTGGAGGGTCCCCCATTTCTGCAGCTGACTTAAATGTGACCTCAAGTGAATCCATGAACTAACTCCCCGTGAATAAACAATAGAAGAGAATTTTGATGCCAGTGCTAATTCCAGATGAAGATGAATGAGTGGGTTGGCTGGGCTTACTTGGAGGTATTTATAGATGTGTCTCCAGGGAGAATGGCCCCTGGAGGTGATCCCCAGGCTTCTCACAAGGCGCCATTGGTATTCCACATGAGCTGTGCATGGCTGGAAGTCTAGCAATTACTACGTGGAATATTCATCTCTGGGGCAGTTGTGACCCAAAATATTTGACCTGTACTCCCCTGCCTACCCCACCCAGCCCCACATATAAGCTTAGGGTTCCTCTGTGGGACAGGAGGCTTCAGGGTCCTGGAAGGACCAGGTACCAGATAGGAACTAGCTTCCTGAGCCATTAAAACAGGGCTTCAGCTGCCTTCTTATCAGGGATTTTACATCTCTGCCACCCCCCTTCCCAATCCCATGCTGATATCCACCAATTACCTGGACTCTTGCTTCTTCGTTGCCATTATTTAGCCAAAGAAAGATGCCCTGCGACATTGCCCCTCACTATCTGTATCTATGAGCCTGGTTCAGCTCTGTTACTTGACCTGCAATTCAGACCACCCGCCACCAGAGGTCGTGATGCTTTGGTCTCACAGCCAATAGCTACACTTCCCATAGATGTGGTTTCGAATTAGGATCCAGCCTGCTTTCCAGTCCTTTGCTTTTGTTTCTTGATAATCCACAGCCTGTGGGGGAGTCTCTGGCTGCAGCAACCCAGAGAAAACTGATGGAGAAAGACTGTGCCTTTGGCACAGCATCCTTCTTATAAAAGGCTACTTAATATTCCTGCATTCTCGGGTCCCCTAAAAGTACTAATAGCTGCCATTTGCTGAGCCCCTGCCTTGTCCCAGGTACGTTGCTAGGTCCTGGAAGTAGAAGATTCCCACTGCTTGTTGAAATCAGCCTTTCAAAGGAGGGATTGTCCTGCCTGCTTTATAGATGAAGGAGAGAAGCAGGGGCTCAGAGAGGTGGTATGACTTGTGCAAGGTCACAAGGCCAGTTAGGAGTGGGCCAGTTCTCAAATCCAGACCTGCTGACTTCTGGCCACGGCTCTGATCATTATGAAGAAGGGAGGCAAGTCCAGGAGAGCCAGGGTGCTGCCAGCTGGGAAATGTGAGCCGTGGTCATCCAGGCTGGTTGGATTTTCACCAGAAGTTCTCAGATCCTGCTCCTGCCCTTGAGCCTTTGATCCAGAGTTTCTCCTTCCTGGGAAGCCACATGGTCTGTGCTCAGCCTCACAGCAGGACACGGGGTATAACTCACTCCACTTACTGTGATGTTTAGGAGCAAGCAAAGGAAACTTCTCGTGTCTGCATATTTAAATGCTTTTATTAAGTGGAACAAGCTATTTCTGAACACGAGAGTGGGCAACAGCCTTAGAAGAAATTAAAATGAACCATGACAATGGAAAATTGCACAGGGGCACGGTGGATTCTCCGGAGATAAATACAACAAGCCTTTCAACAGCATTCGGGAAAGACTAGCGATCATGGAGATTATGTTGTGAGAGGAAGAAAGCAAACCGTCAGAAAATTAGAGCTCAGGCTGGTGGGAGGACCCACTGGCGTGCTAGTCAGGTCTGTGGGTGCCTGTCTCCATTCAACACTCCCTGGGGTCTAGCGGGCAAGATGGAGCCAGAGAAACAACAGGCGGATCGATCTCCACTCGGTTCACTCAGTGTTTCTGAACGCCCACTTTGTGCAGGCTGCGTGGATCTTATGGACTGAATTGTGCCCCCAGCAAATTCACAGGTTGAAGCCCTAATTACCATTGTGATGGTGTTTGGAGATGGGGCCTTTGGGAGATAATTAGGTTTTGATGAGATTGTGAGGGTGGGGCCCACCTGATGGGATTAGTGCTCTTGTAAGATGAACAAGAGACACCAGAGCTCACTGCCTGGTGAGGACACGGCAAGAAGGCAGCAGTCTGCAAGCCAGGAAGAGAGCCCTCCCCAGAACCTGCCCGTGCTGGCACACTGATCTCAGAGGTCCCAGCCTCCTTGACTGTGAGGAATGCATTTCTGTTGTTTAAGCCAGTGGTCCCCAACGTTTTTGGCATCAGGGACCGGTTTTGTGGAAGAGAATTTTTCCATGCATGGGGGTAGGAGGAGTTGGGGGGGCAGTTTCTGGATGAAACTATTCCACCTCCGATCATCAGACATTAGATTCTCATAAGGAGTACACAACCTGGATCCCTCTCATGCACAGTTCACAACAGGGTTCGTGCTCCTATGGGAATCTCATGCCGCCACTGATCTGACAGGAGGCGGAGCTCAGGCAGTAATGCCAGCAATGGGGAGCAGTTGCAAATACAGATGAAGCTTCACTCACTCACCCATCACTCGCCTCCTGCTGTGTGGCCTAGTTCCTAACAGGCCACAGGCTGGGTCTGTGGCCCAGAGGTTGGGGACCCCTGGTTTAAGCCATCCAGTGATATTTTATTTTGGCAGCCTGAGCTGACTAATGCAGTGAGGAGCAGAGCTGGGCACTTAGATCTTGGCCTCAGAGAACTCCCAAGCCTTGAGGGGCTGTCAACTGGACCATCTGAAGTTTCCATAGATATCAGCTGTTGTAATTATGATCCTGACTCTCCCACTAGCCTGTGCACTCCCCTAGGCCAGAAACTATTGATATCTGTGTCTCCAGAACAGGATTGCCTCTCAGTAAGTGTGGGGTGGGAGGGGGGCCGCGTTCCTTGTAGCGGCCCATCCTACTCAGAGGCCCCGCCGCCCTGCCTGCGTGGATGACGCCCCTGCAGGCGATGGGCCCCAGCGCTGAGGGAGTGGAGCTGTGGTAGCCGGACCACACAGCACGTGCAGACAGAAGCCCTCCCTTGGACGTGAAGGGAGGAAACCTTGGCCTAGGCAGTCTGGGTTCCTGCTGAGGAGGGGACATCAGTGGAGGGCATTTGTCTGGGATCCCATCTCCAAGGGCGGGCCAGGCCCAACCTCCTCAGGAGTTGGCACCGTGGCTACCCAGCCTCTTGCAGAGAAGACCAGAGCCTCATGCTGCCCTGGTTACCCACAGCCCCTGTGTGCAGTGCCCATCCCCGCCCCGCTCCTCCCCAGCACCGCTCCTGGGGAAGGGAAGTATCTATCTGCCCCAAGAGGGCTGTTTCTGTGTCCCCTGCCTCTTCCACCACTGCTTAAGATCTCTCCGCTGTGCCTCCTGCCGTGGGCCTCCAGTGAATTTAGACGGCATCTGGCTGCCCCCAAGTGTTTCCTGAAGGCTGAAGAGCTGAGCTGCTGCTAAATACCAGCTCCTTTTAAACATCACTTTAACCACCTCAATTCTGAACCAAGGTGGGGCCAAAGAACACCACGCCCTCAGGATCCTGCCTGGCCACACGTGGCTCTCATTACAGACAGCCTAAGCAGGCACAAAGCAGCCAGCGCCCAGGAGCTGGAAGAAGGCACGCTGAGGCCCTCGCTGAGCCTTCTGGAACATTCCCACCACGGAGCGGTCATTTCTGCCCAGCTCTGACCCCCATACCATTCAGAATCTAGGCTACCGTCCTGAGACCCACACTCAGGCGCTGACTTGTTTGGGTGAGTCTTGAAGTCCCCACAATAAAACTGTAGTAGCTCCTTCGGTGCACCTTGCGTCTGAGGAGCCGCCTCCGAGGCCGTGTGTGCTGCCCTGTTTGTCTCTTTGTCTCGCTGCCCCTCGGTGTGACTCTGCCGCGTCCCCTCTCTTGTTAGGTGTCTAATAAGGTCGCTGAGGATGTCGTGTCAGGATTGTTGTGTGGCGTCAAGAGTCGAGCTCTCAGTCGACTCCATGCTCTGGGAGTCAGTGTCGTGAGTCACACAGCAGAGGTTTTACAATGTAGAGCTGTTCCCTTTTCCCAGTGAGTCTTTGTTTGCAATTTTAAAAAAAACCAGGAATGCTCTGCCCCTGACTAGAAAGGAGGAGGCCAGGAGTCTTTTTTTTTTTTTTGAGATGGAGTCTCGCTCTTGTCACCCAGGCTGGAGGGCAGTGGCACGATCTCGGCTCACCGCAACCTCCGCTTCCCGGGGAGCTGGGCAGCAGTTCTGCTGCCTCAGCCTCCCGAGTAGCTGGGATTACAGGTGCCTGCCACTGCACCCAGCTAATTTTTGTATTTTTAGTAGAGATGGGGTTTGCCATCTTGACCAGGCTGGTCTCGAACTCCTGACCTCGTGATCCACCCGCATTGGCCTCCCAAAGGGCTGGGATTACAGACATGAGCCACCGCACCCAGCCCGAGCCCAGGAATCTTAATGAGCATGTTAAGCGACTATTGAGGAAGGTCACAAAGGGAGTCGCAGATAATGGAGACTCAGTCTTGGGGTTTTTTCTGGCTCTGGGGGTTCCTGCACACAGGACGGCTTAGTTAATCCTAGAATGCCCTCTGGGGAGGCGCTGGGAAGGCCATAGGGGGCAGAGGGGCCAGGGCAGCCCCTGGCCAAGCCGTTGTAAAGAGCCCACTTCTTCCCCTGGGGTCGTTGGGAGTCATCTCCATGCAGGCCTGAGTCGCTGGGCTCACAATTAATGTTGAGGCCAGGCATGGTGGCTCACACCTGTAATCCCAGTGTTTTGGGAGGCCAAGGTAGGAGGATCGCTTGAGCCCAGGAGTTTGAGGCTGCACTGAGCTGTGATGGCACCATTGTACTCCAGCCTGGATGACAGATCGACACCCTGTATCAAAAATAGTAATAATAATGTTGGGTGTTCAGACTGTAGTCTCTGAGGGCCAGGCCCCATCCACAAATGGTTCAGTAAGGGAGTCCACCTGTGGCCCCACACCGGCCCATAGCCCTGTACAGGGGACTTTTCCTCACCAGCTTCACTACGGATTTCAAATCTGAAAATAACAAAGGCTCCCAGAAATGGGCGTTGTGTGATGTGCGTCTGCGAGTCTACAGCTGACCCTGGGGAGGGCGGGGGTGGGCCTGGAGTCACTGCCCGCAGGGCCGGCAGTTGGAAAATGTCCTATCAAAGGCCAGAGCAGGGGCTGCCCCTGCCGTGCCCACCTCCCCGCCCACTCTGGCGACACGATTGGAGAGGGTCACCGTGCTCAGGAGGGCGCTGCCTTGTCACCAATGCCGCGGTGACCAGAAACAGGCAGGGCGGCGGGGCCTCTGAGCAGGACGGGCCGCTACAAGGAACGCGGCTGTTGGGGGAGCGGTGCGGACTGATTGAAGGGGGATGAAAGGCCCGGCCCCGCTCTGTGAGAGGTGCCCCTCGCGCTCCTCCACGTCCCTGTCTGTCCGTCTGGGCCACTGGCTCCCGCACATCACAGGCATCTGCTGAGGGCCAGGCCTGCCCTGCACCTTTCAGCAGAATGAAAGGGAAACTGATATCAGAGGGGAGCTGAAGCGCAGGAAAGGGCTCTTTCTTTTCAAAGACTTTCGTTTGTGATGGGCTTTTTTTTTTTTCTAGGTGATCTTATTTCAAAGCCCCTTTGAAAATTTTGTGGGTTTTGTAATGGATGAAAAGTTACTTGGAAATGGGACTAAGAAGTTTTCGGTTGAAAGTTGTTAGAGGAAAGTTGAAAGCTTTGAGTTGTAAGGTTCTGCCAGATTTATCATTTCCTTTGTCCACAAGGCCCATCCACTGGGAGGGGGGCTTGGAGGAAGGGGCTGGGGGCCCGGACAGGGCACATTCCAGAGCACGGTGCAAAAACCAGCCCCATCTGTGGTTGCTTTATGTGTGCAAGGGAGGCCATCTGTGCTGCACTTTCAGCAAAAGTGTCTCCAAGGTATAGACTTTGATGTTGGAAAAGGGAAAAGCAAACATACTTCCAGGATACTATAGAAAGCTGGGTTCTATCAAAGGCATGGGCTACCACACAGGTGTTTCACATCAGAAAAATCATTAAGAAAGAAGACAGGGCCCCAACAATCCTGAGAGAGGGAGAGAGAGGCCTGGCACGAGCCTGGAGCACTTCCATGCTTGAGATCCGAGGAGAGGAGACACCAGCGAACAGCACCGGGAGGAGGCGCTGGGAAGAGGTTTAGGTCAAGAACCAGGAGAAGCATTGTTACCGAAACGGAGGGGCAGGGAGTTTCCAGAAGGAAGAAGGAGGAAGCCATTGTTAGGGATCAGAGAAAGAGGACGTGAAATGCTCCCGTATTTGGCATTAGGAGGCGATTGTTCATTTAAAGGGGGTGGTTTCACTGAAGTGCTGAGGTGGGCAGCACCAGGAGTGGGAGCCAGGGAGATAACAGCTAGCCCCAGTGTGCTGGCAGGGTTGGAGCAGGAGGCCCTGTCGGGCTGGACACAGTATGAGAAGGAGAGGCCGTGGCCGGTGTGCTTGCAGGCACCTAGGGAGGGCTTTAGTATTATCCTGATAGGATGGCATGAGCGCAGCCTTGATATGGCTGAGTCCATTTATGGGTCTACTGGCCACAGCCGGGGAGGCTGGGGAGAGGTAGCCTGGGAACATTCCTGCCATCCCAGAGCACATCTGAAGGTCTTGTGATAAAATAGTAGACCCGGGTTAGAGTCCCAGGCTTGCCATGCCCTGAGTTTTTTTTGTTTTGTTCTGTTTTTGAAATGGAGTCTAGCTTTGTCACCCAGGCTGGAGGGCAGTGGTGCTATCTTGGCTCAATGCAACCTCCACCTCCCAGATTCAAGTGATTCTCCTGCCTCAGTCTCCCCAAGTAGCTAGGACTACAGGCACACACCACCACACCCAGCTGATTTTTTTTGTATTTTTAGTAAAGATGGGGTTTCACCATGTTGGCCAGGCTGGTCTTGAACTCCCAACCTCCAGTGATCCACCTGCCTCAGCCTCCCAAAGTACTGAGATTTCAGGCATGAGCCACCATGCCTGGCTGCCCTGAGTACTTTTGAACTTCTCTGGCCCTTATTATTCTCATCTGTGAAATGAAGGTAAGAACACAGAATTCCTCATGAAAGGAAATCAGCGCATGCCGGCACCTGGAGTGGAGGAGGCTGTTAGGACAGTGGCTGGCCAGGGAGGACCAGTTCATCTGTGCCTGGCATCTGTTTATGGCTTGCGTCCTCACAGTGATCCAGTGAGAAAGGGCACAGGAAGTGATTGGTGGTTTCCACTTAAAGTATTTACAGATGACCCTTGGGGCTGGCCACCAAGCCGAGGATCACAGGGCAAGGACAGGGCCAGGCCTGGGGCCCAGACGGGTTCTGCAGTTGTAGCTCCCAGCCCAGCACATGGCTGCCCTCACCAAGCCTGTCCTCTGTCTCTCGCTCGCTATTCAGCCCCTCCTACCACCTGCCCCATCACGTCCTCTGCCCCCACCCAGGCTCTCAGCAGGCTCGTTTACCCTCCAAAGACATCATCATATTCTGTAATATGATTGGAATCTGAATATATATTTTAAAGGACAAGATTGAAATTAAAATTTAAATAAAGAATTACTTTTCTGTAAGTTGCCCCGAAAGCAGTAATTTAGCAGCAAGTTGATAGAGAAAGGTAAGCACTGGTCCTTTAAACCATCATGCAGTTTCCGGCATGCGAGCCAGAAGTGTCTCAATTTAACACATCATTGGTTAGTATTATTAGAAATTTCATCAGGCACCGGAGCGCATTATGGCAGGGCTCTGAAGGGGAGGCTGAGGGTGCAGGCCTGGGGCCAGGGGGCCAGAGAGGGCAGCCTCGTTAATGAGGGCAGGTGGGGCTTGGGAGACCCTCCCCTGGCCCCGCGTAGGGATTTAACTGCGATTATCTTCTCATTTGTAGTTCAGTAGCAATCAGGAAATGAGAACTGAGAGACCCTTGAATGTCATTTGCGCTTCCCGGAGGCCACAGATTTCCAGCTTTGGTGGCTCTCAACGTGTCCTTCTGACCCCCTGAAACCTAGGCTCAGAACAGAAGTCCTCAGAAGTGGCCTCGTCAAGGAGCTGGTTTCCATGAGCCACATAAGCAAGACCCAAAACTCTCCCAATCAGGTCCTGATGAGCAGCATCAACCCCTCAGTCCCCACGCACAGGCCCAAGAATTTGAACGCAAAGACTTTCATTGATCCCCAGAGTGAGGTCCATGGAGTACCTGCCGAGCATCCCCTGTAGGTTTATTAAAGGGGCACATTTTTGGGTCCCTCGCCCAACACCAACTGAAGCAGAACCTCCAGGGTGGGGTCCAGAAACTTCCATTCCTCTAACAAGTCTTCCAGATGCTGCTTTTGTGCACTCCCATTGGAGATCCCCGTGGTGGTGGTCAGAAGCCCTCCCTGTGTGATCTTGGAATCTGCTCTCAGTGATAACCTGCCAACACTAGAAAGCCTAACAGCCTAGCTATAAACCTATGAGCTGTCATCTAAAAGATCCCAGACACCAAAATATCTCCTTCCCAAGCCTGAGTTTCTACCATTAGAAAGTAATTCCTTTCAAGTAAGAACTGCCTTCCTGGGGCTTCACCTTTGCAGTGCAAGAGCCCCTGAGGGGCCCACATGCTCAGTCCCCAACACCCTGGTCTGAATATGTTTGCCAAAAGCTGGATGCCATCATTCCCCACAGGTGGACCTGGCACCGTGAAGACCTCAAGTGCCCTGCAAAGGGAGGGAAGCTGAAAGGAAGTGAAATATCCACTCTTTGCAGGCAATGGCCTGCCCAGTGATGCCCCCCTCCTGGAGCTCGTAGCTGGTGTGATATGATTCCCCCCAGGGCAAGCCAGGGCCCGGTGGTCAGAGGTGCCCGCAACAAATGCACTTCTGCTAGGAGCACTGTGCGAATTTGCTCTTGCTGTTCTCAGAAGAGCCCTAGGAATAACCCTGCAGAGTGAGAAGAAAAAGGAAATGACAGCATTCACCACCAGTGCTGGGCTGAGGACACCAGAGCCTCCCTGTCCCACGTGCTCCCAAATCCCCATTCCTCTGCCACCAGCCTCTGCAGCGCATGGACTCGGAGCAGTGCTGGCCTCCTCACATCACCCAGCTTTCCAGACTGCAGTCTCACCTAAGTGGGTTTGAGCCACAGGTCACATGCCATGCCCTAGCTGCAGGGGAAGCTGGTAGAGAAAGTTTTCTGATGTAGGGAGTTCCAAAAGTCTGGCATGGCCAATCAGAACCATGCCAGAGTTGTAGGGAGGGCCAGCGCCCGTGAGCATCCCTTGCCAGAAGGAGCCATCAGAACCCAGGGCCAGGCAGGTGGGATGGGCACACCAAAGCTTGTCTTCCCCAAATGGGCTGGGTGTTGTGGGGAGCCCAGAGATGGAAACAAGGCTTCAGATGAAGGTCCGGGTACAGGGAGCTTTGTCTGGCGTTGTCCCTGGCATTGTCTTCCCTGGGGCTCCTCAAGTTTTCATCCAAGGCCACTTCACACCCACCACCCAGCTGGGCTGTGTTAGGGAACTGCTGCACTGACTTTAGTTCTGGCATTTATGTAATTAGAATCCCACTATATTTATGCTGCCCCTAATCCTCTACAGAACACAAAGAGATGCATGTAACACTGTACATTTATATGTCAAGAGTAAGGCACAAATGACTTTGCCCTTTACTATTTTGCAATATATACAAAATGGTAAGATACACAGTAGTCTGTGTATCCCTTTTTTTTTTACTTTTTTCTTTTTTAGTGGCTGTTAAATGACACATTTTATAATATCTCCCAAATTTGTGCACAGGAATTCTGAGAGAGCTTGGCTAGACAGTTCTGCTGATCCCATGGTATTGACTAGTAACCCTTGGTGATGTTCAGCTGATTTGCTGATGGTCTGGAGGGTCTAAGATACCAAGGCAGAAGCCTCAAGGCCTCTTAAAAAGATAGGCCCAGGACTGGCATAGTGTCGCATCTGACATCTCTGTCAAAAGAGTCACAGCACTCGTGTGTGTGTGTGTGTGTGTGTGTGTGTGTGTGTGTTTAATTTGACTAAGTGGAAGCTCCGTGCTATGCTGAAGGCTCAACTGTGGCAGTTCCAGGAGCCCCGTGGCCTGCATGTCCTCAGCGTTCATTTCTCTCCCCGTGTTCCCTGGTCTGGTCTCCCCTTTGCATTTCCTCATGATTTTACCCCACCTTTTCTTAATGGTGGCACCAGTCTCTCTATTAACAGGGATGGGAGCGAGACAACATCATGGGTCTGTTCCTTGGGTCTCTCTCCAAGCCTGTGTGACCCCCACGGCTCCCTGGTGTAGGTGTCCCATTCTGCTGGTTGTAAGTTCCTCCAGGGCAGGACCTTGCCCAGCACAGATGCCTGGTACACGGTGGTGCCCCTGACCCAGAGTGCGTGCTCAGTGATGCTTGGCAGAAGGCAGCCCCGCCAGCCCTGTCTGCACCACATGGTACAGAGCATCGTGGCCTGCAGGTTCCCATCTGGGAGACAGTTTCCTTGGCAGGAGAGGGCTGTGGGTGCTGGCATCATCGTCCCTCCAGGAAAGGCCCATGTGCACCCCGGAAGTGGACTCTGAAGCCTGTCTCTGTCAGATGTATCTAGGCTGAAAATGCACTGGTTGCTGTGGGGTCCTTTGGCAGTGACTTGGGCCCCCATCCATCTGCCAGATCGAATCCTGCCTAGCTTTTGTGGCCCAGGCCCAGCCCATCTCTTCTGGAAGCTTCTTCTCGAGGCTTCATTGATTCACCCTCTTCTGACATCCTTGGGCAAACAGTGGAGGGTGCTGTGTTCTAGTTTCTCCAGGAGACTCCCCCAGGTTCCCCCAGCTCCACAGAGGCAGTAGTCACTCCTCAGTGTCCATGCCTTCATCACACCCAAGCATCCGGAGGGGCTAATGAGTTCTGCTGGTCAGTGGATTGGGCCATCCAGGGCTCCAGGCAGCCTCCAGCAGCATCCAGGGCAACAGTGTTAAGGGTCCCAGCACACCCGGCCCCCATGACGTGGAAACCTCAGCACCCCCAATGAGGGAACCGTGCTGTTTCACTGCTCTGCTCTGTGACTCGTGTCATTCACTCTCCCTGGAATCCACCCTGTGCATTCATTCATTCATTCATTCATCGAGCCAGCAGTGATATATGCTTCTTCCACTGGCCAACACTTTAGCTCAGAGACCCTGCCCTCATGGAGTCATGGAGCTTTGCAAAGACAGGGCAGAAACAAGGCCCTGGGGGCAGTGCATTAAGTACTGTGATCATTGGGTACACAGAGAGTAGAGGTGAGAACAAGCAAGGCCTGGGAGGACCCCAGGGGAGTCCCTGCCATCTCTCAAACCTCCCTGGCCACACAGGACGCTGCTAGTCTATATGGCACCTTTGTGCAAAGTAGAAAAAGGGGTTTCCTCTGGGTGGACAAATTAGCAAAAGCCTCTCGGGGCTGTGTGTCGCAGACTCGTGGGTACACAGCCTGGTGAGCAAAGGGTACTCCATGGGCATCCACTGCTCCTGCCTCCCCAGGTGAGTGTCAGCCCCTTGCCCTCTGCCAGGAATCTTTCATTGCATACCACCTGCGGCCCTACACACCTTTCCCTAAATGAAGCTGGTCCCTCAGAGCAGCTGTGTGGGCCATGCACAGCTGGTTCCCCCCAAGCTGGTGGAGTGAACCCACGTGTCCTCTGAGACTGCTGCAGGGTGGAGGCCCCCAGCCCCCATGGCCAGCAGGTGCCTCCCCCTCTGCGCTGCCTCACGGAGAGCTTCAACCGTAGAGGCCCTCGGTCTTTAGTGTTCTTCAGTCGCTGAAAGAAGCAGGATGCTGTCAGCTGCCATAAAACTGTGACCTTTGAAAATTTACAAGAGCTCAGGGTTTAAAAAGCTGCTGCGTTAATGATGCATCCCATTAGCATCTCATTAAGGGAAAGCCAAGAGAAGCCTGCTCAGGCCTGATGATGGGCAGATAGGGCCACTCCGTGGGGCCAGGCACAGAGAGGCTCTCCTGGTCTGCCTCTCTCTGCCAAGTGCCATCATGTCACTGGAGCAGAAAACATGGCCAGGAACACTGGGGAACGGCCAAAGGTCTGGGTGGCTTCACTGGTGTCCCAGATGATGGCAGTGGGAGGGCACGAGGGGAAGCTTGCTCAATTCTGCCTTCTTCCCTGCTGCCCGGGCTAAGTTCTTCTGGTTGGTTTTCGTGGCATTCTTGTGTTGGCAGCCCTCCCGACCAGGAGGCATGGAAATCAGGGTGGCCTGGGCTTGCAGACATTCTGAACCATGGGAGGAAAGAGTTAGCAGGAGCTGGGCTCAGAGCTGGACCCACGGCCCTGAACATGGTCCCCTAGAAGCTTCCAGAACCCGGGGACCACATGGGTTTACTGAGGGCCTGGAACTCGTCGTAGGAGGGGCCTCTAGTCAGGCCGCGCTGACGCACATCACCAGTGGCTCTGCACGTCACCCACCCGGGGGCCCAGCCTCCTCGGCAAAGGGCACACCCCGTGTCCAGGTTTTTTCTGGAGGAAGTGGAGGAAGGAATGTCATTGCATTATTTTAATAAAATACATAAAATTCCTGAACTACAGGTTGCTTGTAGCTTCAGATGTTGTGAGTGCTCAGTAGAAAATGGGTAGCCTTATGTATCTACCCTAAAGGAAAAAAAAAAAAAAAGACTTGATTCTCACCACAGAGCTGCTTTCTTATACATAAGAAATTGCTTGTAGTATTCATGAACGACACAGCCAAACAGCAGGCCGGTTGTAGCCCACTTCGCCTGCTCACAGCCCATCTGGGCCCGCCTCTGCACACCCGGGATACCCCAGCTTCTTTCCCTCGAGCTGTTCATATATTGAGTCCTCCCACTGTCCCACAGCAGCCACTTGAGGGCAGGGCTGAGTCTTGGTCACCCGTGTCCCTAGTGCCTCGAGCAGTGCCCGACACAGACATACAGCAGAAGAAACAAACTAAATGAGTGAGCGGTAGGAGTGCTTTGAAGCCAAGGGGCTGAGCAATCTGTGTTGGAAAAGTGTGAGATTTTTCAAGTTCAGAAACTCCACCAATTTTAGGGTGACCGTTGGAACTCCTGAAGTTTTAGCGCTCAGAACATGGGGACCCAAACTCGAGGAGACCCCAACCTCCTCTCCTGGAGGCAGGGGCTGCTCCAGGGCAAGTTTCCAGAAGCTTCCCTACCCTGTCGAGTTGCCAGGCCGGAGTGTGATTCAGGAGGGGAGAAGCAGTGGCTGTCGGAAGAGGCTGAAAACCTCTGCAGCCTCTTGCCTGGGACACCTCTAGGATCCCACACGGTGGAGAGGGGCTGCAACACCCCCTCCAGGCAGGAGGGGCTTCTGTACTGTCCAGGAAGGGAGTGCCGGTCAGGAGGCTGGGATCTTAGCATTCACACTTTGCTCCCAGGCCCAGTGTGGGACTTGGCACAGGCTCCTTCTCCCTCAGATGCCTCTGATTCCGAGGAAAGCAATTTCCTGCCTCTGAGCCTCCAGGACTGGAGAGCCTGGAAATACAGCGAAGGCTGTGGAGTGGATAGATCCTTCAGACAGGGCACTCGTTAAAAGCTGTCTATTTGGAGAATGCTGGAAAAACCATGCTATTGTTCCCTAAGACTATTAGTGAGTGCGGCTAAGTCCCCAACCCCCTCTCCTCCCAGCCTCTGCCTGTCCCACAGATAGAAATGGGGCAGGCCCTCTGATAAGGAAGCTTGTCCCTTGAATTGTTCTTTTCTCAGGAGATTCACCCTTTTCCTTTGTTTCTTGCTCTGTTCACAAAAGCAAAGCATCTGAAATGCAGGCCAGAGATAAAGTGCAGCCTGATGCAATTAGCTGAGCGCAGCCCACAGGTCCTAATGGGATACGGCTCCCGTTCCTCCAGCAGGCCCTTACATAGGCGCTGTGTGTCGTCTGCACTATGCGTCGAAGCCCCAAGTGTTGCCCAGCCTCCGCATCCACACCCCCTTTCTGTCCCTGGCACAGAACCCAGGAGAGCCACTCTGGTCAGAGGGGCTCAGCAGCAGGCCCTGTCTCCCACCAGCTGGGTTCCTGGGTCAAGTTTCATCAGAAGTCACCGTGAGGACCATGGTCCTCACCTGAGAGGCCTGCAGATGCCCCGGAGGCTCCTGTGTGCTTCTGTGACTGTTCCTGGCAGGCATCCGTATCCACCCCTCATCCCACACCTGGTTGGGGTCTGGCTGTGCTCCTGGGAGCTGTGCTGACTCTTCCCGGGGCCACCTCTACTGACACCCACACCTGTGCATATCCCAGGTATCCTATCCCAACCTTGCCAGCATGTATCCAGGATTTTTTTTTTCCTATTACATATAATGGCCATAGTAAAAAAAAAAAAAAAAGACAAATACAGAAAAGTATAGACAATAAAATAAGTTACCCATAATCCTCTCACCCAAGAATAACATCCCTGTTAACATTTTGGTCATTTCCCTCCTACACATATTGTTTGACACAGGGATGTTTACATAGGGAGGCCATTTGTGTATCATTCTGTGGCCTGTTTTTCTCATTAAACATTATGATGTAAGCATTTTGTCATCAAGAATTCTTAGTACACATGATTTTTGATAGCTATATAATATTCCATTATAAGGCTGTGGCTCAGGGAGACAAATACTGTCCTGGTGTTTTTTTTTTCACTCTGAGGTTTATTTTTTCCTTCATCTACAAATCTGAACTAGAGAGTGGGCTCATGGAGCAGAAAGCCTGTCTCCTTCCTGCACAGAGGAGCTGAGGGTCCCACCATCCACCTAGGAGCAGTATCTGAGCTATCCCCGCCATGGGCCTCAGCTCCCCACTTCCCCACACTTCCTCCATAGGACAATTGGGCCTCAGAGGCTGGTGTGGGGGCAGGATAGGAAATGTATAAAGTCCCTCACCTGCTGTCTGCTGGTGGCCCCTTGGAAAGCTGTCCTCTCCCATGTCCAAGAGCCAGCTAGTGGTGGCACAGAGGCTGGGCTGGGCACACAGTCAGTACTCAGCACATGCCCGATAAGTTGGTAGCATCTGTGTGGTTGTGGTTTGTGGATGGTCCGAGGGCCAGAGAACCCATCTCATATCTCAGAATGCTCTTCCCGTTGTGATAGGGCAGGTGGAGTGAGTGGCCACGGAGGGTGACAAGGGAGGCACTGGCTTGGATGTTCCTAGAGGCAGGAGCTTAGCAGAGGTCCCAGCTGCTACTACTATGGCAGAACCCCCTGCAATTCCCACCAAAGACTGGGTGGAGGGCTGAGGCTCTGCCTCTGACCCTGTACTCAGTGGGCGAAGCTTAGGCAACTGGAGTCTTGTTTTGGAGGCTAGGTCCCTCCTAGGGAGTCTTGTTCTGGAGGCTGGTCTCTGGCCAGGCTATGCTCACCTCCTCATCTGCTTCCCACAGGCTCCCGGCATCTCCAAAGGGGACAGTCAGTCCCAGGGACTGGCGACCAGCATCCGGTGGGGGCAGACGCCTATCAATCAGTCCACACCCTGGGACACTGATGAGCCACCCTCCAAACAGATGAGAGAGAGTGACAATCCAGGTACGTACCTCATCGGCAGATAGAAACGACTGAGCCCAGGGCTTGGCGGGAAGCTAGAGGCTTCCTGGGGACCCCAACTCCTGCACAGCAGGTCTTGAACCCAGGGCCTGCAGAAGCCCCCTCCTCAGGTTCAGGGGGCAAAGGCACTGTGTGTAATTCCCTGTGAAGGAGCTGTCCCTCTGCGTCTTCCTCTGCTACTCAAGGACTCCAGAGAGCAAAAGGAGTGAGAATGACATTATCAGGGTGACTTTCAATTGAGTCTAGATTCTTTTGAATCATCATTCCCAAACCTGGGTACTCTGATTCATAACAAATTTCTCGAGTCATGCCTTCCAGTAAGGTTTTTACTTGCTGGTGGTTGTATGACAACTGGGGTGTTCTACCCTCGGGGACTGGGAATTAATTCGCCAGCTTGTACAACATCCCAGCCCTTCTTTGGACAGCTCCAGCCATAATGAATGCCCTCTCTTTTATCTCCCATTGGCCCCAGAGCGCCCCCTCAGGATACACAGAACACCTCGATTTGGCCCTCCACACAACAGCCCTACAGGTGTCAGGAGACCCCCTTCATCCCCCTCTCAAAGTCTTGGAATAAACACACCAGGCCATTCAGCCATGCCCCACAGCCCATAGATTCCAGGCCCTTTGCCTTCCAAGGCTTTGCTCTGCCCCCTGCATCCCTCTTGAAGTGCAGTGGCCAGAACTCAACAGTGGTCTGCCCGGCACATGCTTCCTTCAGCACCTCTGGTCTCATCACTCCTCAGCTAGTAGCCACGTCACATGCTGCTTCAACAGCACCCCGAGATGCCCCAGCAGCTACGGTTACCCCTGTTCATGTCCTCACAGTTGGGCTTAGGCAGCTGGGTTTGGAGACCCAATAGCAAGGCTTCATCAGTGTTCCTGTTTGCTCTTAGGATCTCTTAGACACCAGCTTCTGTTGCTGACCCTACCCCTCCCAATTATGTTCCCTGCAGACCTGGTCTTGTCTTCCACGTCATTATCCAAGTCACGGATTAAAATGCTGGGAGCTTGGCGACATATAACTAGAGACTTCTCTTTAGGTCTCTTGTACCCTTGGGCCATTCACCCCATCATAAGTAAATCACCTCCATGGCACTGTGTCTCTGTGTCTCTGCCACAGAGTCCCCTGGGGCCCCACCCATTACGCTTTGAAGTTCTGATGCATTTTTCCAGGCTCTCTGGCTAATCCTGGAAAGAGCAGAGCTTGGGATGACATGCTTTGGCTTAAGACACCCAGGCTGGCTCATAATGACACCACCTCCCCTCTTCAGGCTTGGGGACAGTTCCCATTAGCAGCACATTCTAGAATCTTGCCATTACTTCACTTATGTTTGTTGGCTTCCAGTTCTCCCCGACCTCTCTCGTTATCAAAATCATAAATATGCGTTGCACATGTATTGCGTGCCCTGTTCTGTGCATCATCACAAGGCTTACAGCAATAGTGCCTGCTGCTGAGGAGGAAACTGGCTCGGGAAAGGCTTGGGCCTACGGTCCCTCAGCTGGGAAGGGGCGATGCAGGCCTCGTACCGTGGTCTATGTGACTCCGAGCCTTGCTCCTCACCACCAGCTGGTGGCTCTCCCTTGGACAGTGGGCTGGTAGTGACCCGCCATCTTAGCTCCTGCCCCACCTCGGCGCCATTTTCTTTCTGAGAGGGAGCTCCCAGCTCCACATTCTATCCTGTGGGGCTTGTGGTGCTGAGTGGCCCCCTGCCCCCTACTCCCCTTCCTCTGTCTCCCCATCCTCAGTGTACACTGCCACCTCAGAGCAGCTGTGAAAACCAAGGTACCATTTGGGCCATGGAGACCTGGACCCAGGCTCATTTAGTCAGAGGCATCCCAGACTGGCCTTCCCTGTCATGGTGTCTCCCAGTTTCCCTCACAGGCCCCCTTAGGTCACCCCGCCTGGCACAGCTGACCTCGCCTCTTGTGTTGGCTCTCAAGAGATGTATCTGGACCCCACCTCATTCAGCCATATTTTTCTTAAGGACTAAAGTGGGGTTCTCTTGTTTCCCCCAGGGCTGGCCGTGCCCAGGTTGCTTAGCACAAGGCCTGCCCTCCCCAGCAAGGCCCGGCCAGCCTTTCCATACGTCCCCCACCAGGGTCCCTCCCCTCCTGCGAGGACCATGCCCGGCCCCGGGCTCTAGCGCCCTCACCTGAGGGCCCAGTGAACACCCCCATCTCCACCATCCCCTTCCCCTGCCTCCCTCAGAGGCGAGCTTGCAGAAAGGGAGGAGAAACCCCAGCATTTATAGGGCATTCACCACATGCCAGACACTCTGCTAGTTTTGTTTTGTTTTGTTTCCAAATACATCTTCCTCATTCTGTTCTTCCTGGTAGTCCCCTGAGGTAGGATTTAACAGATGAGAAGAATGAGGCTCAGAGGAAATAAGGACTTGCTGAGGTCAGGCGTGGTGGCTCATACCTGTGGTCCCAGCACTTTGGGAAGCTGAGGCGGGCAGATCACCTGAGCTCAGGAGTTCGAGACCAGCCTGGCCAACATGGAGAAACCCCATCTCTACTAAAAATACAAAAATTAACCAGGCATGGTGGTGCACACCTGTAATCCCAACTACTCAGGAGGCTGAGGCAGGAGAATTGCTTGAACCTAGGAGGCGGAGGTTGCAGTGAGCTGAGATCGCGCCACTACACTCCAGCCTGGGTAACAGAGTGAGACTCTGTCTCAAAATAAAATAAAAAAGAACTTGCTCCTGAGGCTCTTAGCTACTAAGTAGCAGAGCTGAGAGTGGAACCCAAGTCTCTCAAAGGGCTCTGCTTCCTTCTCTCTGCTCTGCTGCCTCTCACCTCTCCCAGGCAGGCCTCACTTCCTCCTCTGAGCCCCGATGGCTGTTTGTTCGTAGACCCCCTAGCACACTTATCCTGGGCTGCCATGATCACAGATTCCTAATCGGTCAGTTCCTGGACGCAGGTGTCTCGTTCCCCTCTGTGACCTAGCACCCAGTGCAGGGCCGGGGATGGTCAGTGTTTGTTGAATGAAAATGTAACCGGCAGATGACGTTTCTTCCATCTCCCTTGCAGGCACAGGGCCATGGGTGACCACGGTGGCCGCCGGGAACCAGCCCACCCTGATTGCACACTCCTATGGAGTGGCCCAGCCTCCCACCTTCAGCCCGGCTGTGAACGTCCAGGCCCCGGTCATTGGGGTGACCCCCTCACTGCCTCCCCACGTGGGGCCCCAGCTCCCGCTGATGCCAGGCCACTACTCGCTCCCTCAGCCGCCCTCTCAGCCACTGAGCAGCGTGGTGGTCAACATGCCTGCCCAGGCCCTGTATGCCAGCCCTCAGCCCCTGGCCGTGTCCACACTGCCCGGTGTGGGGCAGGTGGCCCGCCCAGGACCCACCGCTGTGGGCAACGGCCACATGGCAGGGCCCCTGCTGCCTCCACCGCCGCCAGCCCAGCCGTCCGCCACTCTCCCCAGTGGTGCCCCTGCCACCAATGGGCCCCCCACAACCGACTCGGCCCACGGGCTGCAGATGCTGCGGACCATTGGCGTGGGGAAGTATGAGTTCACCGACCCGGGGCACCCCAGAGGTAAGTCCTGCTGCCACGTGCCTCCCCACGGGCCTGCGTCTGCACCTCCCTGCGCGGTCACTGCAACACCACCGGGACAGGGGGTGCTTCATGCCAGCTCCTTCACTGGCCTCCCCAACCCAGAGGCTGCAGTGGAGCCTCCACCTGCCCAAGACAACTGGCCTGAGATGGGGGAGGGAGGGGGAAGGTGTGGAGGGCGGGACAAACAAAGTGGGAAAATGCGCCGGGGTAAGAAGAGGAAGGAAGGGAGAGCCTGCAAAGCCCAGAGCCCGTCCCCCTCCAGCCCAAGCCCTGGCCATTCTCACCTCCAACCCCCAAGGCCAGGCCAAGCTGCAAAAGGGTGAGAGTCATCCACTCCTCTCAGGGCACCGCAGAACAGTCCCTTTGGGGGCCTTCTCCACATTCCATCCATGAGGACATTCAGAGCATGTACTGTGTCCTTCCCAGGGAAGGCACTCTCTGTCGTGCCATCGGATGAGAGCACTGCCCAAGGCAATTTAGTTAGGCCCAAGAGACATTCCTAGACCATCTTGAGGCACTTGAATGTTTCATTTCAAGGATCCAGGGGTGGCTTTGTGAGACCTTGGGAAAGAGCACCTCCAGCCTCAGCCTTCAGTTAACCCTCTTCCCCCAGCCTCAGGGGAGTTTCATTCCAGGGAACTCGAAGGTAGATCCTTCAGAACAGAGCCTCGGGAAGGATGCGTGCTAGACATGGTCCTAGTTGGAGCCCCCGGTCTTAGGGTTAGAGTTCTTGATGTCTGTCTGAGGGATCAGTCCAGACTGGAAGGCAGAAGGGGACAGGAGGACCAGGGCACACATATGAGGCTTGCTGGATTCCTCTGCTATAGGTTTGCCTAGCCCTTAGTGCCCCAGACAAGCCAAGTCCCTGCTCCTGCTGGATGCAGTGGGGAAGGCTGCTGGGCCACTGCCAGGTACAGGCAGTGGGGGCATAAGGGTCCATGGCAAACAGTCTGGCCCAACGGGGTGTCTACATCTCTTTTGAAAGAGGACACTAGACGGTCCCAGAAAGTATGCATCTCTGGGCACAACTTCCCAGCCTTCCCACATAAAACCCCTTGAGATGGCATTTCGGGGTGCTCTGCCTTTCGGCAGAGCAAGGAACCCCACTAGCCACTCTCCTGTCTTCTCTCCCAAGTCTCTTCCTTTGTCATTTCAAGCAATTTTCATGCCTTGTCAAGCATCCCAACAATAAAGCTCATGTCTGGATCTCTGTTGGGTTTAATTCCCAATCTGACTGAGCCCTAACTGCCTTTGTTTTGGAAATCAGCACTAGTTTTAAATGACAAAATTGTAGAAAATTACATCTAAATTCTGGTAAACTCTTGCTTTAAGATCTTTTTTAAAAAAATGACTAAATTGATTTTTTCTTTGCATTGTTTTGGTTAAGCTCTGTCTCCCTTTAAAAAAAAAAAAAGAAAGAAAGAAACTTACTCCCAGTTCAAGTTCATGAGTTACCAACTCTGACAACTGGGCAGCGGGCATCCTACTTCCAAGGCTATGCCAAAGCCCAAGGCACCGGGTGGCATATTCTGTCCCCACATAGCCCCTCTGGGCTAATGCAAGATCTTGCTGGCTTGCCACGTTCCAGGCACGCATCTAGGAAAAGGAGCTGTTTTGTGCAAAAAGGTAACTAGCTGAGAAAGGACTGGAGTCCCTAGTCTGGGGCTCAGCACCAAGCTGGGATCTGCCCCACCAAAGCTGCTGGGTGCAGGCAGCTAAACATTGTCAGCCCTGAGCCCATGAGATCAGAAAGACACAGGTGGCGGGGACAGGACCCTGCAGGACTTCTGTGCCCACTGGGTCAATGACCATTGCAGAGCTGTTCCTGTAACCTCTGTGCAAGGACCTGAGGGTGTGAACCATCCTCTGTGGTGGTCCTGAGCCAATGGAAGGGAGGGGACAAGAAATAGGGGCCCTGCTAAGATTCCCTCTACCAGGCCCCACTGGGCAGACCGAGGGCCAGGTGTGAGGGCCAGGGATGGGGTGGGCCTAGAAAGTGTCCTCAGCCCTGCCTTCTGGTGAGCCAGCGGGACCCACCAGCTCTAGCCAGTGACAACAACTGACCGGTCCATCACCCTGATTTCCAGAGGTTGCCAGCACACTGGCTCTTTCCTCGAAATTCCATGTAACTCGCTTCTCTATTTACGGCCTCATCAGCTGATGGAGCCCCTTATATTTGCAGGGAAGAAAGAGTGACGCACGCGCCTACAAATGCCTCCAAACTCAAGCCTGGGTGGGTTTTTTCTTTTTTTAATATATAAGTAATTTCTCTTTTCATTTCTAATCTTAAAAGCCTTTATTGCTGAAGCTATAATTTGTCTGTCAGATCTAATGTCAAACAACTGCATATTTTTTAAAATAAGAAACCCGAATTTTGAAACTAAATCTTTGAAACTTGCCATGTGAGAGTCGTGTTCCTGACAGGACCAGGTGGGCTTGGATCTGGGTCACTTTTAATTTTGCCCCTAGGGATTTTACATCTCTGAAGCCCAATTGATTTCACACTCCTAAATGACAGACAGCTGGCTCCAGGCAGGAACAGGAGGCTCTGCGTGATGGCGTCAACACAAGTCAGAACTCCACTTTAGAAAAAAAAAAGAACTTTCCTTTTCTCCTGTTCTCTGTTTGAAACCTTGCCCAGCATTATAATAAGATCCACCATGCAATGCCTTGAGATCTAGCTCGTTAAAGTCCCCGATATTCCCTGCTATTGTTTGACGTGACAACCTGGCCTCTCCCGGGGTTGAGTAATTATGGGGAGATTCCCCTCCATGAAGAACAGGTCTTGCCAGCCAGAGGGATGGGCCACTGGTATTTTTAGACTTCATTAGTGCCCAGATTTAAAATTTCACATTTTGTTTCTTGTAATTATCTTCTGATCGACTGAGCTCAAATTTCAGTTGGGGCCCTATTAGTCTGCCTTTCCAAAAAGGGCGTTGGGACTTTAATTTAAAACTTAACCAGTTGAAAAATAAAGGTGGCGTGGAAATGCTTTTTGATTTGCAGTAGGTCAAGCGATTGTCTCTCATCTGTGACTAGAGAAGCCAGCTTGTGTGCCATTCACTTTAATGAGTGTTATTTAAATGCATTGAGCACATATAGATTTTCTTAAGAAACTTACAAGACAAATCTTTCTTTCTCTAAGAACAATTTGGGGGTGGGAGCAAGCTGTAGGATTTTTTTTTTAGATGATGTATTGAAAGCTAATTAAAAATAGATTTCATGTGTGCAAAGTGATAAGGGAGGAAAAAAGAATTCGTTCCATTTGAATCCTGTTATGAAGTACCTAAGACATTTGTCTCGTTGTTGGATTGGAACCACCGAGCTAACACATGGGGAGAGGTGTGGCCAAGCTCAGGCCTCGGTGAGACCTGGAGTCAGTGTTACTACCCCAGGATCCCGTGAACCCAGCTGTGCGTGCCTGATGACAGAGCACAGGCTATGAATGCAGCTATTTCTACCCCTGCCTTCTTTGGCAAACAGTTTTTGGTGGCTCAGAGGATGTATGGGGACCTTTTAAAGCCCCAAGCTCCAGGCCTAGTGGTGAGCTGCAGAAAGGCTATTGTGTCTTCACCTGCGTGGCTGGGAGTGAAGAGTCAGGCTGCACCTGCTCCCACCTGCTTCTAGACCAGAAAGCAAAGCCCGTGTCAACCTGAGCAGGGAAAGGTATCTCTTCGGACTTCATATTTTGCAGGGGCCTAGGGTGAGGGGTCATGAGGATCCATCTACAGGCTTGTCCTCCCTTCTGGGAGGCCGTACTGGGAGAGAGGGATGGTTCAGCCCCTTCCTTTGGTTCTCCAGCTCCTCCCTTCCTATTCTGGCACTGGACTTCCACCTCATGGCACACCATTCATCCTCGCTGCTGCATTCATCCCTGTCTTCACAAGTAACAGTGATGAGATCTTGTGAAAATACTTTGAGGCACAGGGAATAGCTGTGTGACTGGGACAAGCCTCCTCACTTCTCTAAGCCTCTTTCCTCATCTTTAAAGTGGGGGTGACAGTACCACCCTCACAGGGCCTCAGGGAGGATTGAGTGAGATTGCGGACATGTCCGTACATAGCACTGTGCCTGCTTACCCCAAAAGCAGCTCTGGCTATTGCCTCTGGTCCAGGGTCTAGAGAGTTCAGCAGAGAAGGAGGCTAGGGAAGGGGCAGAAGGCCAGGCCCTCCCCAGCGCAGAGGAGATGGAAGAAGCCCATGCTTGTCCACAGGGCTGGCAATCCCTGGTCAAGCCATTTAACTTAGGGATGGGGACCCCTTCCCTAAAAGGGAGGTGGGATGCATCCCTTTTCTGTCAGGAGGACTCAGGATGGCTCTCCCCAGGTGTGAGGCCTGGCACTGATCTCATCTCTCCTTGCCCCACACTCTGACATGTCCAGGGCACATTGTTCCTTCCACAGCCTCCATAAATATTCTGGAAGAAGCTGGGAATGCATGATAAAGCTGTTCGCCCACACTCAGGCCAGAGGCACAGAATTTTATCCAGACTGAAACTGTCTTCCCACAGACCTATTCTTCCTGTGTCTGTGCCTCAGAAATGCCAACATGAATTCATTCAGGGTTCAGACTCAAGGCCTGCGTTGTCTGTGGCCAGCCCTTTGTCCACCTCTAGCACTAAGTCTGAAAACTCAATCGATTCAGGTTTCTACATATGTCCTCTGCTCTTCTGTACCCCCACCACCCCACCATCAGGCCACCGTCACCTCTGGCCTGCACACTGGCCTCCCAGCCCACAGTGCATTCCTTCCAGTCTGGCTCTACGGTGCTGCCAGAGTGATTTTTCAAAATGCAGGTCTGGCCCTGCCACACCCTGTCCAACAACCCAGTTGCTCTGGGGACAACGGCCAGCGCTGACTCGGTGCTTGCCACCACTTCATCCTTTGCTGTTCTGCTTGCAGGCTGCCCCGTAACCACCCCAGGCCTTGGCTCTCCAGTCTAGCCGTGCACTGTGCCTCGGTCGAGTGCCTGTGAGACCATTCGACTGTGAGCCCCGGGGTCAGGGGCAGCAAGGATGCTATTTCATCCCCACTCCCCCCTCAGTATCCAAGCCGGTACCAGCACTCAGAGATGCCCCAGAAGCGTCTGATGAATGTGGGCACAAAGCACTGAGCTGAGAATCACCCACCAGGGTTCTGTGACTTCCCCTTCCCTTCACATGAAAGCAGGTCAGTGCTCAGGGCCCCAGGCATACGGGGATGGAAAGTGCCCTTAGGAGAGCTCGTTCTGCAGCCCGTCACCCCCCGACACCTGACCCACGCCTCTGGGGACAGAAGTCCATCTGTTTCAAACTTCCTTCTGCACCCAAGCACCTCCACTATATCCTGCCCCAGACCATACAGGCTCTGGAACTCTGCCTCAGTTTCCTCATCTATAAAAGGGGGAGAAGACTAGAACCCACTTCTTACAGTCATGAGGATTGAGTTATTTTACATACTCGTAGGCTTAGAATATTGCCTAGCATGCAGGAATCACTATAAAACTGTTCACTGTGATTACTTTACTGGTACCAGGGCCATCTTTCAGTGTCCGTGGCCTTTTAGGGGCCCAGGTTAATGAGTCCCAGGAGATATGACATTTGAAACACCTAGCTCCCAGGGCGTCCACCGTGAACAGAAGAAAATCCCCTTCTCCCATTGTAACGTTTGACAATCCTCCACTGACCATAACAACCGGAAGGAAGCAGCCTGTTGCTGGGAACTTCTCCCTAATTCCGGGAGCTATCTGTCTTGGGAGAGCTCCTCCTACCTCCCCTCAGGGGCTTTCAGTATCCCGTGGCATTCAGCTGGATAATCAGGGTGCCAGGGACACCGCCGGGGCCAGGTCCTCCATGGCCACGTCAATAGATGGGACCAAAAGAATTCTCTGGCTCCTCCAGACCAAACAGCCAAGGCTGCAGGCAGAGAGAATTGATTGTGAGGATGTGGCTTGCAGCATGGATGGTGGTTGAGAGCCCAGATTCTGCAGCAGACTGCTTGGGTAAATTCAAACTCCACTTCCCACTAACCCCATGAACTTCTGCTAGAAAAAGGGTGTCTCTAAGCCTCAGTTTCCACATCTGTAACTTGGAGGTAATAGTGCCATCCTCACAGACATGCTTTGAGGATTAAATAATGTATGTAAAGTCTTAACCCAGTGCCTGGCACGTAGTAGGCTCGAATAATATTAGCTGTTGTTATGACCACTACTGTAAATCCTAAAGATTCTTGGAGGAGAAATCGGGTCTGGAGCACCTTAGCCTCAGGACCACCACTGCTTTTAAAGCAAGGTTGTCCAAAATAATCTCCCAAGTCTGACTGAATGGCTCACAACATGGATCTGAAACCAAACCCCCATCCCACCCTTGCCCTGACTTTCCAGCCCCCACTCCTGATACACACACCCTCCTCCAGGCAGTGTGTGTCTCAGAGCCCGTGGAATTCGAAACTCCATCTGCACAAGGTTCTTCGTCCTCGCCTGAGCTGTACCTGCCCCAGCCCTGCTCAGGAAGCCTCCTCCCCTCGCAGGGCTCTGTCCTCATGGGGCTTGTTCATCAGTAATTGGAGGGTTGTCCAGGGCTTAACGGTTTTGTTAACAGATCATTTGACTATGAGTGAACCAGGCAAGCGGAAAGATGCCGCAGAGGCCGCTGGACCACCCAGGGATGGTGTCATCCTGGGAGCAGGAGGTGACCCCTGGCTGCCCCAGCCTGCTCAGCAGGGCACAGGCAGAGAGAACCACCCTGGACCCTCTCTCCACGGGGCTGCGGGAGCATATGGGCCTTCAGCCCCAAATCTCCGCTGAGCATCTTCAAGGTCAGAAGCCCTGCTCTGGCCCCAGTTGTCTGACAGGGCCAGAGGTCCCGCTGCCGATGGGGATGAGAGGGCTGTTCAGACGAGAGCCAAGGGTGGGAACATTTCCTTCCTGGGGGCTTCAGGTGATGGTGCTGACCCGTGGCAGGAAGCCAGCTGCCCTGATCCCAGCCGCTGTCTTCCTTCAGGAGCAGCAGGCCCCAGCAGACACCGGCAGGGTAACCCGTGAGGTTCCAGGTCAGTGACACACGGAGGCCACTCAGGGGCTTGAGTCATGTCCCCTCCCTCCCTGCTGCACCACCAAGTTCTTACTGAGCCATCACGTTGTGGTCTTAGGCACCTCCTGTGCACAGAGCCCACGTGTGGCTTCTCTCCTGAGCCAGGCAAAAGAAACAGGCAGGGTGCCAACTGCATGCCCCACGTGGTCTGGGTTCCTGTGCACATGAGGCCTGTGGCCATGTCAGGCCCTGGGAGAGAGGTGCAAGTCTGCCCTGGGGGAGCTGGGGAGACCAGGAGGTGCCAGCAATAAGGGCCTCAGGGGCTGGAGAAAAGAGGGGTCAGGTTAGAGCCTGCAGGAAAGTTAAGGGGACAGTGAGTGGTTCTACAAATGCCAGATCTTAGGAAAGAATGCTGGAGGGAAGTGCCAGGGACACAGAATTATGATTTTCCAATAGATCCATCTATCATAGAGTCACACACACACACACGTGTGCACACAGTTTGCAGGGCCTGTCCTGATTTGAGATAGGGTCAGCTAGTGAGTTAAGTACAAAGGCCCAAGCCATCCCTCTCTCTCAATGCTTGGCACGCCAAGCCCGGGGAGCCTGCTCGGGCTACTTAGCTGACGTCTTAGCCTCATCAGTCAGTGTTTGCTGGGGTAGCAACCCAAGATCTTGCACAAGAGTCCATCATCTCTGAGGCCATACTGGTCTTGCAAGGTGAAGACCTCCTTGATTCTCAGGGGCTTTGACCTGGGTAGAAAACACTGGGGGCCATTAACCCCTGACAGGGAAATCAGGTGCACATCCATGGGCCAGAACTTACCTGTGCACGCCGCTTTCTCCTGTCATGACAGGGGTTTAATGTCGAGTTTCCTGTTGCCTAACCACTATTTAAACATCTGGCATCTGCTGTTTGTGCCAGGAAAAGTATGCCATGCTGGACTGAGCCCTAGAGTTTTCTAGAGGTTGGGAGGAGTTTTGTGAGAAGGTGAGCCAGGCCATGGCGTGGTATGTGTGCCGCTTGTCCCCATGTGATGGAGAGGGAAGGACATCATGGCACCCCAAATAGGAAACAAAACTGGAGAAAATGTGGCACAAAACTGGTTCAATGAGAAATGATCTGGTTGAAATTGCATTCCATTCAAGAGCACACTCACTATTCTAGAAATGTAAGGGGTAAAAATAATACAAGCAGAGTATTTTAGGAGCATAAAACATTGTGTAAATTGCTTGAAGAAAAAATGGCTGAAAGGTCGCCATCCATTGAAATCGTTGTCATTGCCTGTTTTCTTCATGTAACTCTCTTCTTTAAAAAAGAATATATGTTTATATTTTTAAAACATTTGTATTATATCTATGTTCAAGGGAAGCCCAAGTGTTTTCAGTACACCACAAGGCAAATGCTCCTTCCTTTTACAGTGTCCTGGCAGCCTCTTGGATGACTAAGCACAGACTAAGACTGTGAACAGTCTGGTTCTGCCCACAGGCCTCTCACTACCTTGCCCTCCCCTCTTGCAAATGACCTCTCGGTGTCATTGCTTAATGCCTCAGACCAAGGTCTACACACAATGCCGGTGTGTATTCGTTTTTCACCAACATCAGCAAAGTCAACGCCATGGCTACATCTTAGTCTGCTAGGGCGTGTCTTCCCTGGTCATGCTCCAGCCTGTCAAGTGCCTTTTAAAGGAACACCAGGTGACAGGCAAGGTGGCCCAGGGAGAGGGATTGTCACCTCCTTGGTCTTGAGCATCACACTGTAGATATTCTGACTTTTCATTTTGTGCTGCCATCACAAAATGCCACAAATTGGGTGGCTTAAACAACAGAAATGTATTTTCTCACAGTTTTGCAGGCTGGAAGTCCAACATAAAGGTGCAGGCAGGGTTGGCTTCTGGTGAGGCCTCGATTCTTGGCTTGCAAACAGCCGCCTTCTCACTGTATCCTCACGTGGCCTTTCCTCTGTGCATGAACACTCCTGGTGTCTCTTCCTCTTCTTAGAAGGACAGCAGTCCGACTGGGTTAGGGACCCACCCTATGACCTCATTTAACCTTAATTTCCTCTTTAAAGGCCCTTTCTCCAGATACAATCACATTGGGGATTAGGGCTTCAACACAGGAATTTGGGGTAGGAGGGGACACATTTCAGTCCGTAACAGTCTACAAGTCTGTCTAGTTGGCAAATGGAAAGGGTAGCCCCTCACAAGGCACAGTTCCCATGTAGTTACAATGTCTGCCTTCTACCTGTGGGTGTTTTCAGTGATTCGCTTGAACATTTTCATAAATGCACTTTTGCCATTTTTATCCTGGTTTAGCTACAGGCTGCTCCCTCTGCTTTGTTAACTAAGCATTGGATATATTTCCCATGATTAGCATCATCCATACTTGGGGTTAATTGTTTTTCCATAGAACTTTCATGCTGGGAGGGAACCTACCGTCACCACTGGGAACTAAGCAGGAACCACCGATCGCTAGACAGTTTGTCCTGTTAAATGGTTAAGAGCTGTCTCTTCGTGTAACTTCCATGGCCCTGCCCTCTGGAGCCATCCAGAGCAAAGCTGGTCCCTGTTCTACATGACAGCCCTTCAGCTTTTGGAGGATGGCAGAATTTCCTTTTCTCCAAACCAAAGATCTCCAGTGGCCTCAGCTGCTCATCCTGTGAAGATTCCCTTTACCATGTGCATGTCCTCCCTGGTCATGCTCCAGCCTGTCAAGTGCCTCTTAAAGGGATACCAGGTGACAGGCAAGGTGGCCCAGGGAGACGGACTGTCACCTCCTTGGTCTTGAGCATCACACTGCAGATATTCTAACTTTTCTATAATAATTGTGGCTTATTTGGTTAAAACACACGTTTATACACGCAGAGATATATGAATATACACTTAAACTTCCAAATGAAGCGAAAAGAGAAAAAATTGTCTCCAGAGTCCTGCTGTCCACTCGGCTGATTTCTTTGGTGTCCCCACCTCCTCCTTTTTATCAGGATCGAGATTGTTGGTCATTCCTTTTTGTAGACACCCCCAGCCCCACCTTCATTCCAGCAGCTTTTTGCCCCTAACTTGGGAGCAAGCGAACTTTCTGAATTTTTAAATTATTTCCTTTTGAAGTCTAGGAGGTAGGTGTGTCTCAGCCCACCTACCCTACCCCCATGCCCCAGCCGTGCACGCTGAAGCAACTCACCGCCTTCCTCTCTGCTGATGGGAATTTACTCCCGAGCAGCAACCCGTCTGCTCCGTTCAAACCCTTCTGCCTCCCTCGTTTACCACCATAGTGAATGTCAGAGTAGGATGCTACCTACAGTCAGCCAGGAAAACCTCACTTTACAGGTGGGGAAACTGAGGCTCAGAGGTATCACCTAGCTATCACATTTCCCCCAGAAACTGTCACTAGAAAGCTCCCTGTGAAACCACCCCTATTCCATGGTGCCCTGTGGAATTGCTTCATTTGCTGCTAGGAGTTGTCCATCTGAGACCTCTTCTTTCCTCCCACAGACCAAGAACTCTACAGGGACAAGCCCAGCATCTGCATGGGCCGCACTGGGCCAGCTCTTAAGCCTCTCCAAGCTTGCCCATGTGGTGCACGCTGCCAGCCTCTGGGATCAGAGCAGCACATCCCACCGGGAGCCCTCTGTACTCAGTGGCAGCTCCACAAGGAATGAATGGGAGGAAGAACAGGGACAAGACACGCACCACTCACAGGGGCCGAGTCATACATGACGCACACAGGCAAGGTCAGCCAGGGCCACAGAGGATGATTTGATGAGGGAGGAGACATCATCCCAAAAGGAGAGGAAAAGGTGACAAGGGCAAACTCTGACTCGAGAATATGGGAGCCCCCACCCCATCACTTCCCATGGTCAGGGGCTTCTCTGGAATTCCTGCTTGGCAAACTCTCCTGGGCAGATTTCCACCCTCCAGGTCTCTACAAATATCAGATGAGTGTTTTTTGTGGTGACAGTGGTTTTCAAAAACGACTCTTATATCCTGGTTAAATTGCCCAGCTTCGGCCAGGCACGGTGGCTCACAACCTATAATCCCAGCACTTTGGGAGGCTGAGGCGGGTAGATCACCTGAGGTCAGGAGTTCAAGACCAGCCTGGCCAACATGGCAAAACCCCATCTCTACTAAAAATACAAAAATTAGCCGGGTGTGGTGATGGGTTCCTGTAATCCCAGCTGCCTGGGAGGCTGAGGCACGAGAATCGCTTGAACCCAGGAGGTAGAGGTTGCAGTGAGCCAAGATCGCACCACTGCACTCTGGCCTGGGTGACAGAGTGAGACTCTGTCTCAAAAAATAAATTTAAAAAAAAAAACTAAATCACCCAGCTCCTTCCTGGGAGCCTGAACACCTAGTCAGCTATGTTTCTCCAGTGGAGTCCAGAGCACCTTCGAGAGCCAGAACCTGGCCCAGTTAGCATCCCCGGCTTTCCTTGCTTTCTTTTCAAACCCCAAATAGAACCTGTTGCTGCAGACCTCACACGCCCCTCAGTTTAGGAATTGCCATGGTGATTCTGAAGGCTCCTAATCCATCTGCTCATGTGAACAGGCAGGTTTCAGGAATTGATTGATCCAAAAATAATTTCTATATTTTCAGTCTTTCTTTTATATGGAGATATTCATTACCTTCAAGATTCCTCTCCCAGAAAGCAGAGATGTGGATGTGTGGCCTCCCCCTGGGTCTTTGTAGTAATGGTGCCGCCTGAGGATTTGAAGCTGGCCCTGCTGTTGGTCTTGGGCTGGGGTCGGGAGTGCCATTCCAGGGAAGCCGGTGGGCAGGGCTGGGAGATGCAGCCTTCTCTTCCAGAAGGGAACAGAGGTTGGGGGGGGGGGGTGGATGTTTTGTATGTGCCTACCACTTTATATTCATTGTATATTCACCCCGTATTTATGTATTCCTTGCATCTGCCCTGAGAGGCAGAGTCATGGATGGAAAACCAAGGCCTGGCTTAAGACCCTGCCCAGGTATAGCTGGTAACGTGAGAGTCATTCTCAAGACTGCCTGCCTCCAGTGCCCATACCCTTTCCGCCACACCACACCTTGGGGCTTGCTGTTGTAGCCTGTGTGGTCACTAGGCATGTCTGGGCTAAGGACGGGCAAGTCCCACAAGTGGCTGTTTCGTGTCTCCTGCAGTCTCCTGGCTGATACTTCTCTGTATAAGCTGGTGATTCTTGGGCTCTTTCCTCATCTCCAAAACCGTTGTTGGGATGGCTGGGTGGATGGATGGGTGGGTAGGTAGATGGAATTCCCAAAGTAACACAAGGGGCATTGGGCCATTTGAGGAAGCTGCAGACAGAGCACTGGCCACCACCAAAGCCACTGGAGCTTGGGAGTCAGGCGGCCCTGGGGAGTCCTTCCTGTTGCTGCGTCTCCCACACCTTAATCAGAGCATCGCCAATGCAATAAAGTTAATGGAGCCAGTCATCCTATGAAGGAGCCAATTCCGTGCAAAGATGATACATCTTTGAAGTTGATGAGGCCTATTAATTGAGCTTATGCCCTTTAAAATGAATTAGATTCTTGAAATCTACCACACAGCAGTACATCCATTTAGTGTTTCTGTCACCGAGGAATGAGGAGCCACCAGCACAGAGCTATAGGAACTGTCTTCCTGCTGACATCTAGCATGGCCTACGGCTCCTTGGGAGCTCCACAGATGTCATGCCTGGCCAGCCATTCTTGTTCTTAGCAAATTCCCCAAATCGGCATAAATAGCTCCAGGAAGAAAGTGATACCGATGATCCATGGGCCTCTGGAAGCGCATCCAGCCAGCCCTCAGCCATTAGCCCCTACCTCAGGATCAGTTAGCAGAGATGCACAAGAATACAGCTAGACTGCCAGCACTTCAAAAATGGCCACTGCACAGGTGGAACTGGTGCAGGGTGGTCCCCGGGCTCCAGTAGGGTAAGCAGACATGGTTTCCAGGAGGTGTGTAGACCTGGAACTGACTGAGCAGAGTGAGTGCAGTCAGTGAGCTCAGTCAGTGACTGAGCAGATCTGACTGCAGCCTGAACGGGAATCATCACGCGGCATCCCCTGGACCCCCAAAGATGCACCGAAGCTCTGCTCAGTCTCAGACTCCTCCCAGTTACCACCACTCGCAGTTGCTTAAGAGCACAAAGTGGCACTTGTTTTGCCCACAGAACATCTGCTGAAGACAAAACTTGTGTTTATAGCTCTTCACTTCAAAAGACTGGCCGTGTTATAAAAAGAAAGGGACCATCTGTCCCTCTTCTGGACCCCAGCGCCTCTTGGAAGAGATTTCTGTGCAAGAAGGCAGTGAGAAGTCAGCGTCGACTTCAGGGAACTATTTTGGGGCCGGAAAAGAATAGTGCCTACCCGCCAAGGGGACCGTCGCCGGCAGATGAAAGCCAGCTTTGAGGAGGCCATGCGATGGGAGATGCTGGCCCGGAGGAGGTGGGCTGTGCGCCAATGATGCTGCCCAGATATTCCAGCAGAGCAGAGACCCCAGAGCAGAGAACCAACTGGCAGGACCGAGGGATGTGAGGGAAGGCGAAGGGGAAGGGCTGTGAGGCACTGCAGCTCCCAGGAGCAGGCATGAGAAATGTCAGCAACAGCTTGCTGCCACGCAGAGTCAGATATCATGTTTGCATCACCCATGTGCGTTCCTTCACCCGACTTCTGGGGCCATTCTTATCTGCAAGGCCCCTTAGGGCAGTTCTGCCTCTTGGGAACACCTTAGGCTGAGTGATCGCCTTCCCGTGGCTGAGAGCTGAGAAGTTCTTCCAGACTGCACAGGTGTCCGGTCTGTCTGTGATGCCCGCTTAAGACTCATCTGCCTTAAGCCCCTGGGCACCAATATAGAAAAGTCATGTGAGTCCAGGAGAAGCTGGGCGGAGGTGAGGTGGAGCCAGGATTAGCACGGGGTGGGGCCTGCAGAGGGGAGGAATTTCCCAGGCTTCCTGGCCGGCATCTCCCAGGCTGAGCATCTTCCAGACTGAAACTCCCTAAGAAGGGCTTGGCCCTCCCCGCCTGCACGGTGTTTCATCGGTTTGGAACAGTCCTGTTTCCTTCCCCTCCCCTCGTCCCCAACAGGAAAAAAAAAAAAAAAAAAAACTGGTTTCTACCATCATCCATGCACATTCCAGAAATCTTTGGTCTGTGAACCTCTAGTCTTAGGGCTTACTTTGTTTCAGATCAAAACCTGCTTCTGTCCTAGGGTGGAAATGGGGGTTTGGGGAGTAGAGGCCAGAAGTGGGGTCCTCTGAGGACACCCCTTACTCCCTTTTCCTGCTTGTCTCTGACAAGGCACCCCTGCCAGCTCTTCCTGGGCCGAATGAATTTGAGAGCTTCCTGAGGAAGGTTTGCAAATTTTCAGTGGCATCCTTAAATGTACGGAATTCCCCCAACCCGGGCACATGCATTTAGATTCTGAGGACGAAGGCAGTTCGTGATGTAGCGTATTCAAGGCTCTCAGAATCCTAAAAGGTCACAGTCCTTTTATTCTTGCCTCTTTTCACTTCTTTACTGTTCTTATTGATTTATTTGGGCACATAAGAAAACACAGTAGGCAAAGCCCACTACTTCTATTGAAATAAAGTATTCTGCAGTCAAACCACACACCATAAAGAAATAATTGCAGTCTGTATATATTGCTAATGGACATCTCTCAGCAATTCCCTGTCTCATAAGCTTTAAACACAGACATTAGTATAAATATGCAGAAATCCCCATTCGGGCAAATTACTCTGCATTTCTGAATGGAAGGAAGATTAACCATGTGCTGATATCAAGCTTTGAAGGAGCCCAGCAGAGCAGAAAGAATTCACTGGCCCTCTCTGGGAGGGAGGTTGGGACTCCCTGAGAGAGTTTTGGCTGGCATCTCCTCACCCCCTGGGCCCAGTGCTCCCCCAGAGCACTGAGAGCTGTGCCTCGGGAGTGGGGGACCGGCCTCGCCTAAGAAGGCTGGTTGGTCACCGGGATGTATTTGCTGAGCCTTCCGGGCTCCTGAGGCTCTGGCAGGAGCAGGAGCAGGAAGGCTGAAGGTGGATGCTTTGGCCTGGCCTCTCAGCTGCCTGACAGAAGCCCTTAGGGGTGGTCCAGGCCTCTGAGGCCAATGGGCTTTGCGGAGCCACGGGGCAGTTCGTGGAGCCAGCTGGCTGTGCGTCTCAGCCCCTCAAGCTCCATGGCACCCAGAACAGCCTGTGAGCTCCCTTTCTCTGTCCCTTCTCCATGCTTGGCCCTCCTCCCTCCTCCCTCTCCTGCCCACTCCTCCTCCTCTTCCCATCCTTCCTCTACCCTCCTCCCCATTGTCCTCCCCCACCCTACTCACACCCTTCAAGGGTCCCACCCTCCTCCACCAAGGCCAGCTCCAGGGTGGGGGCCTCCACCTTGCGGAGCTCCCAGCCTGTGCCACCAGAGCCGAAGCCCTGCCTGAGCGTCATGGGCTTGTGAGGAAAACCCCCTGAGCCCTGGACACCAGGGTGGGGAAGATGCCCCCGTCAGCACAGGCTGCTAAGTCTGGGGCTGACAGGGTGACAAGATCTGGCCTCACCAATTGCTGATTAGAGGGGGGCAGCAGATTAGAGGGCAGGCAGCCTCATTCGGGCTCCCCACAAGGCTCACAGAAGCACCCCCCAGCTGCTCAGCACAGGCCCCACGTCCCCTTGACACTGGCCGTGGCTCCTCTGCCCAGAGGCATGAGGCTCCGTTCTTCTGGGCCGAAGCAGTCTGGAGGGGAAGGGGAGGTGGCCGTCCATGAGGGGCCATCTCGTTGTCTGTCATGGGAGGTGAATGATGAGCCAGTCAGGGGCCGCCGCTGCCAAGAGGCCTTCCGGTTGTTGAGTTTGTGTCCGCCCACCTTTCCCACAGCGGAATTGAGTGCAGAGGCAGAGGAACTCACACTGACATGCTGACGCAGAGGAAAGGGGACTTTGGCCTCTGGGAGCTGAAGCCACAGCCTCACTGCCTTGCGCCGCTCAAATTGCTGGGCCGGTCAGAGGGCCTGGGAACCAGGTCTCCTCAGGAGAGACCCGTGAGGCCCAGAGTATCTGTGACATCCCGGTTTTCTGGTCAGAATTCGGAGGCCCCAGCCTCAGCGTGGAAGAGTAAGCCTCTCCTCAGCTCACCCCAGCGCAGCACAGCCTTCACTCACTCTCCCCACCACCCAGCATCTTGATGGTCTATTTTCATGTCTGTCTCCCCCACTCAACTGTGAGTGACTTTAGAACACCCCCGCTGCTGACCGATTTAGCAACTGTGGATGAAATGTAAAAAGGTACCCTTTTCTAGGACCCTTGCTGCCACCTACCAGAAAATTGTCATAACGAAGGAAACCTAGGATGTGCGGGAGCTGAATGGTACCCCCTGGAGTTGTGCAGTGTGCAACTTGAGCAACCCGTCCGCAGCGGCGCTGGGGGACTTACTGAGCTTATTACCTTCCAGACACTCTTCTAGCATGTTGCATATGTTGACCCATTTAATTCTTACAACTCTGAAGTAGGTATGTTCATGACCTCCGTTTACAGAGGAGGAAACTTCGGTTCAGAAATGTGAAGTAACTTTCCCATGCTTACCCAGTGGGTCAGTGGGTGGACACCAGGCAGTTGAGTGTCAGCAGGGTCCTCAGCCCCAGAGCCTTGTCCTCAACCTCATCTTCACTTCCATTCTCAGCGCCGAGTCCCGGATCTGGCTATGTGAGTGCTTGGCAGGTGCGTGTCCAGCGTGAGGACAGAGGAGGGGCCTGGCTTCGGCTCAGTTCAGCTCCCGCTTCCCCCACCATTGAACCTGTTTCCCCATTTGGAAAATGAGCAGCTGGTCCCAGATCAGAGGAGGTGCCCTCACTCATACCCAACTGTGCCCAGGGCTAAAGAGCTCTGAGCCTCCCCATGAGATCATCCAGCCCACCAGGCTTCCTCCCCAGGGCCTCCTGCAGCCAGGCCCTCCTCCAGGCCTGGCCAGCCTCTGTGGTCTCAGTTCTCCCTCCCACCCCTCAGGGTTCCCTGGGTGGCGTGCTGCCTCCTCATCTTCTCCAGCCTCCATGGTCAGAGCAATCTTCCTAACGCACCACCTGGCCAGGCCCTCCCCTGCTTGGAGCCCTTCAGGGGTCCTCCTTTCTCACTAAGCCCCTCACCTGTTGCTCAGGCCACCTGTGCACCACAGCACTGCACCTGCTCACAGTGCCCCTCACACCACCCCTATCTAGACCTATCTTTAGCCTGTTCCTCCTCCAGAAAACTTCCCTGGACCCCCACACCATGTGGAAGCCACCAGGCCCAAGTGCCAGCCTAGGGCAGACAGGTCTCTTCTCTGTGACTCACTCTTCTCTCCAAGGTGGAGGGTCTTGGGGTCATGGCCTGGGCCAGAGACCAGGCAGGCATGGACCACCCCCTGCCTCACCAACTGAAAGACAGTATGCTGACATCACACCTGGCTTTACGTAAGGTGGCTTAGGTCACCTCAGCTCCCTGTTGCTTCCCCCTCAGCCTGTCTCTTCTGATTTACACAGGTGCTCTCACCAGAGCCAAGGCAGCTTGCCCTCCCTGGGAAAGTCAAGTGTGGGCTTATCAGGGTTCCCAGCCACCATCCCTGGACCCCCTGCAGCTGCCAAATGGAAACCAGAGCTTCCACATGAGGAGCTGCCAAAAACAGGTGTTCAAGCCCCGCCAGAGAGGCCTGAGGAGGCAGGAGAATTCCAGGAAGGGGAACACTCTGTCCCAACAAGAGTTGGTTCTCATAGCCAAAAAGGGACAAGGGGCACAGATAACTGTCCCCACAGCCCCCAGCTCACCAGGCTCCAGCCTTCTGGGAGTCCAGCCCCTCCCCTGTGGCAGGTGGCAGTTGGGGCCCACATGGAAGCTCCAGGGGTTCCCCAGCCTCTTCCCAGGTCAGTAAGAAGGCAAGAAGCTGGCCGGGCACAGTGGCTCACACCTGTAATCCCAGCACTTTGGGAGGCCAAGGTGGGTGGATCACCTGAGATCAGGAGTTCAAGGTCAGCCTGGCCACCATGGTGAAACCCCATCTCTACTAAAAATACAAAAAAAAAGTCAGCCAGGCGTGGTGGCAGGCGCCTGTAATCCCAGCTACTTGGGAGGCTGAGGCAGGAGAATCACTTGAACCCGGGAGGTAGAGGTTGCAGTGAGCTGAAATCGAGCCATTGCACTGCAGCCTGGGCAACAAGAACAAAACTCTGTTTCAGAAAAAAAAAGAGAGAGAGAGAGAGAAGCCAGGCATTGTGTCTCACACCTGTCATCCCAGCACTTTGGGAGGCTGAGGTGGGAGGATCACTTGAAGCCAGGAGTTTAAGAGCAGCCTGGGAAACATGGCAAGACCCCATCTCTACAAAAAACTTAAACATTTAGCTGGGTATGGTGGCATGCACTTGTAGTCCCAGCTATTTGGGAAGCTGAAGTGGAAGTATTGCCTGAGCCGAGGAGTTTGAGGTTACAGTGAGCTATGATCTCACCACTGCACTCCAGTCTGGGTGACAGATCAAGACCCTGTCTAAAAAAAAAAAAAAAACCATGAAAAATGTTTTAACAGGAGGGAAGCCCAACCTCAGAAGGTCCCAGGCTCCTGACAAGGCGCCAGCTGTATCCCCACCCCCAGACAGACCGCATCTGCACACCTGGCATAGCCTCCCCCTGCGTTCGTCACAGGGCCAGGCCCCTGCCCTGCTGAGCTGCACCTGGGGCTGGGCCCGAACCCCTCCTGGCATGGGCAGTGGCAGAGGGAACAAGAGTATGTAATCCTGCTCCTGGGACCAGGTCAGTTATCTGGAAGGACATGGCTTTACTCGTGGCCGAGTAGAGGTGCCCCCACAGTGCCCCTGGGCACTTGTCCTGGGAAGAATCTCCAAACCCATGAGCAACCCCCAGGCCCACTGGGAAGAGGGGAAGAGAGATGATGAGTCACTGAGGCTTGAGGCCCTGAAAAGCTATTTGCTGGGAGCTCTGGAGCCAACTGCCCCCAAATGCATGCTCGAGAACATCTCTCTATGGCTGCCCTGCACTCCTGAGCCAGCCAAACGGTGCCTGCCCTTGTATAGGAGGAGACCCTGGGCAGGTCGCCAGGTATCCTCTAGAATCCATGCTCCAAGGGGACAGCCAGTTGCTGTATCCAGCGCTTGGCACATGGTAGATGCTCAGTAAACACTTTTTGAGTGTATGAGTGAATGAATAGCTCCAGCTGAAAGGATGAGTGCTGCCCACAGTACTGAAGCACAAGCTCCAGGTGCTCCGTAGGCATCAGAGCAGGGAGGGTAGAACCCAGGAGGATGGGGCAGCTCCAGCAAGGGTGCAGAGGGGGCTCTCTGGGCTCCTAGGGGGTCTTTCAGCAAAAGTAATGCTGAAAAATTTTGACTTACAGTGATCAGCTTCAATGGTCTTAACACAAACTTCATCTCAGTTTTTCTGCCCTCTCACATCGTCTCGTCTAGATATTTTTGTAGGATTTAACCCTACTGTCTTACTATCGCCCACCAACCATAGGAAATTCCCTTTTTGATGGATCTTTGCTCTGTGCAGGGCCACGTCGTGTTCTGAGCAGTGATCAAGTGTTCCTCTTTCTCCTGGAGGCATTTGTTGTTTGTTGATCAATAGATGGTGGGGGCTTTGGCCAAGATAAGCCTTTGGCCATGCGAGGCCTTGACAGTTTCTAGGACTGCAGCTTCTGCTCTCTGGCGGTTGAGTTCACCAGCCCCTCCTGGGGTTCCAGCCCCTCCTGGTGGGCGCTTCTGGCCTTCCCTCCCTCCCCAAAGGCAAGAGGCCCCCTTACCACCTGAGGAGAGAGCCCTGCCCGGCCCCCACTTCCAGATCCCCCTGGGTTTTGCCTTGGCTCCTCCAAGGGGTCTGCCCCTCCCAGGGGTCCCACCCAGCTCACCTCCCGAGCCACCTCTCCCCAGCCTGGGCCCACCTACAGACTGTCTATGGTGCTCCTTGGACTTGGGCTTTACCTTCCCAGGGAACCCCTAAATCTTCCTGGGCCCCGAGCCTGACTGCCTGGGGAAGGGTGAGCAGGAAGCAATGAAACACAGCGGTGGGTTGAAAGCCGTAAATGCAAGGCTTTGAATTAAGCAGAACCGGATTCAAATCTCCACTCTGCCACTCACTCGCTGTGTGGCCTGGGACCAGTGACTCTCTGCGCCTCATTTTCCTGGCCTGTACAATGGGGGCAATCTGTCATAGAGCTGCCCTGAGGATTCCAAGAGTGGATCTCATCAGCGGTCTCCGAGAGGGTGGCAGGTGGGAGGAGGCGTTTCAAAGTGCTGGGCTTCCCCTACCGCGCCCTGCTCCTCGCTGCTCCTCGCTACTCCCAGCCCCCAAACCCCGCAGCTGAGGACGAATGCTATGGAGTGAGATAGATGGTTGCAGGCACGAGGCGGGTGTCATGAAAGCGCCCCTTTGGCCCAGTAGCAAGCAACCCAGAAGTGTGCTTATCTTGAGTTTATTGGGGTTTCCAGGTAGGGGTCCCCTCCTCGCCTGCCTTACGCCCCAGCCCTAGAGCCCTTGGGTCCCCGCGGGCTGGGGCGGGGTTGCCTGTGCCCGGCAGGAGAAGGAGGTGGTGACGCGTCCACTCGGGCCGCCCCGCGGCTCCGCCGTCACGTGTGCCGGGGAGGGGACCACCGGGAGGTTCCCGGGCCCGCGGAGGTGGCGCGTCTGCGAGCGCCTATTTGCATATGCGTACCCTGGATATTTATAACTTCTCTTCAGCCAGTTCCAAGTTATTGATGTCTTAAAGTGACTTTAATCTGAGCCTTCTTTTCTCCAAATGGGCTTTTGATTTCCGGAGTGATATTATACATGGCTGTAAGCTATTGACTGAGCGATTGCCGTTGTGTTCTCAATGTGCTGATGCTGAAAATCTGCGATATAAATAAACTTCCTCTGGTAGAATCATTATAAAGCACAAGCAGCAGAAATTTATGGAAAGAACAGATTAAATGCTTAGACTTAAATTCTTCAGTGTGCTGGTTGCCCTAAACTGCTGTGTCTGGAGTTTGGGCTGCTGATTCAGGTGGAAAAAATCAAACGGACACATCGCTTGTCGGTGCATTTTTACTATGATCTATTGTGTTGCCAAAAGAGAAAGCTCAAAAGCTGCCATTGATAATCCTGGTTAAAACTTGGAACATAAATTATTAAGACGTGTAGTTTCTTTTCCGAGTGGTTGGGGACTGGGGCGCCTGGCACACTACAGAAATATAACATCAATATGCGCTTATGCATTGTAATGCGGGACATTTTTATGCCCATAATAAAACATTGCGCCTACAACTATGTTTATGAAAGCAACAGATAGGAAGATCCGTAATGCCACTTAATAGAGTTAATCACCTCCCATCGGAACGTTTTAAAAAGCTTTTTATTGCATGTTGAAAAGCCCTGACCATGATTAATACACTGCACACTGTCAGGTGCCAATCAGATGGCTCAAGGCAGCAAAGGGAACTTTCCAGCACACTGGGGCAGGGAGGGTTCTTGGGACTCTGTCCAGGTGTCTCAGTGCCAGGATTTTAGGTCGACATTAGCCTCTGGTTGAACTATGTCAAACATTGGGCTCTGGCTGGGGCTTTGGGTTCTAAATTTTAAGCTCTGAGCTGTGGATGTAAATTCTGAGTTTGTTCCTGTCTCTGGATTCTGGGCTTTGGACTGGCCTGGGGTCTCAACTCTAGATCCTGGGTGACCCTGAGCAAGATCACCGCACAGAACATGTTTACCCAGGGCCAGGAGGCGGGGATAGATGTTTCCTAACAGTCTTGGGTTTGTTTGCCATCAGTTTGATGAGTCCAGTTGACCATAAACCTGTATCCAGTGGGCCCTCCCTGCACCTCTCCCCTTCCAGCCAGTTTTCCACAAAGAGGAGGGCAGCACCCACGGCTGTGCCCAGGGCTGGCATGTGGGTGAGGGCCAGTCCTTCAAGACAGCAGCCTGCCATGGGACAGACCCCAGACTCATTGGCAGGGCCAACCACCAACCAGCCAGGAGGCTCCGGGGCCAATCACTCCCCTTCCCCTCCAAAGGAGATGCTTTATCTCCTTTGTCCCTTTTCCCACAACCACAGAGTGACGGGAGCCATAGGGAATCTCCCAAACAGCCTAGAAAAGCTGAGGAGGTGAAGGGCCAGCCTGAGGTAATTAAAGAATAAAATTGCCCTTTAAAAGTGCACAGAGATAGTGCTCTCCACGGCCTGGGCCTCTCTCACGTGCCTGGGTGGTGACTCGGGTGGCTGGTGGCTGAGCTAGAGCCGCTGGTACTCAGATGGAGAATGTTCTGAGTGTGAGAGCTCTTTTTCTTCCTGAAAAGTTGGACCAACAAGAACTAGGAGTGAGGACAGTGAGGCCAGCCTGTGTATCCTGACACCACATGGCAGATTTCTCTCCACTGGACTGGAATCCACCTTGTGTTACAGCTTGAAGGGCTGGATTGCCACCAGGGGCGCAGGGCTTGGAGGGATGTGTTGTCTCCAGGGGCCCAGAGATTTCTATGCTTGAAAAGTTGCTGTCACAGGCCTTTGGTGAGACAGAATCATACCTGAACTGACTTCTGGTGCCCAATGGGACACTAGTCATTCAAATTCCATCATGGCCTGAAGGGTTTGACACCCCTCTGCCATCTCCCTACCACCAGTACCCCTGCCAAAAGTGAGACCCATGCTTAAATGAGCTTACCTTTTCAACTAGGGAACTGTCCTGGTCCATTTTGCATTGCTCTAAAGGAAGACCTAAGGCTGGGTAATTTATAAAGAAAAGAGGTTGATTTGGCTCACGGTTCTGCAGGCTGTACGGGAAGCATGGCACCAGCATCTGCTTCTTTGGAGGCCTCAGGCAGCTTCCACTCATGGTGGAGAGCAGAGGGGAGCAGGCATCACAAGGTGAGGGCAGACAGAAGAGAGAGGGAAGGGGCACCATGCTTCTTTAAACAACCAGGCCTAGCATGAGCTAATAGACGGAGAGGCCTCTCATGACCGTGAGAGCTGCACCAAGCTATTCACCAGGGGTCCGCACCCATAACCCAGACACCTCCCACCAGGCCCCACCGCCAACACATTTCCACATGAGATTTGGAGGGGACAAATATCCAAACCATATCAAGAACCTTTTCCAAATATGAGCTGTATGCTGGGTCCATGGGGGACACTGTCCATTCTTGCCCTCTTAGAGATGAGTACCTTGGTGGGACAGGCCCACACCTCACCCCAAGTTGTAAAGTCACAAGGACAACTGGAGAAAATATTGAGGCATAGGTGTTGTGGAGGAAAAACTCATTCTATGCATCAGTCAACAAAAATGTACTGAGCACCTACCCTGCACAACAAACCAAACTCCCTGCCCTCAGGGGGCTCATATTTGAGCTCCCCAAAGCCTCCCAAATGATGACGGCATCCACATCCCAGATGCAGCAACTAGAGAAATCACAAGTTGCGTGTGCCTTTTCCAAGGCCGCCTAAGACAAGCTGAGCGAGGATCCCCAAAACCAGGGCAGGGGTCTCGGGTGGATCTTCAGAGCCACATCCCAACCCCCTTGCCAAGCTCCCTCCACCCCAGGCAGCAACTAGGGCAGTGTGCCCAGCCTCGGCTTGGGGAGGACACTATAGTGTGCGGTGACCTGTGGGAAGAGAGCAGTTCCTCTCAGTCTTTCTCGGGGACCAAGGCCAAAAGCCAGCAGGTTGCAGAAGTTGCTTATCCTGGAGGCAACAAAGCAAGGGTGCCTTGAAGTTATGGAGACCATGACTGTTCCGCAAAGCCCGGCAGAAGGGGTTGCAAATGAGGGCTGGATATGCAAGGAGAGTCCATTGAGGAAATGTGCATGGGGCACTCACCTCTGATCGTGACTGAGCGAGTTTCCTTCTGAAGTCCAGTGCCTCCTGCTTTATGAAAGTGAGCTGTAGGGTGTGGTCAGGCAGACAGCACATGTGGAGCACCCAAGATCAAGTGCTCAGCCACAGGCTGGCCCACCCAGACTGGCACAGAGGTAAAGGCAGCCCGACCCTCTGTGGTCACAGCTGTCCTCCCAGCAGCTATAAGGCACCTGGCAGTTGCCAGGGCCCTTCTCTCTGTGCCCAGCCCTGGTGGCCTTGGAGTGCCTACTGGGCAGTTGCTCCCAATCCCTCCCTGGCCAGTGGCCTTGAGAGAGCCCTGAGTCCTGAGTGAGTAGGGGAGGGGGCTGTGGTGGGCAGAGTCAGGCTCAGTGAGGTTCCCTGGGGGACTTCTGGGATGAGTTTGCTAATAGAGATGTCTGTTCTGGGAGGTCGTGATACCACCTGTCATTAACCCGGGCACTCTGCCCGGGGTTCTCACCAAGAATTCATAGGTGGCTGCTTGCAGGCGGGTGAGTGATTTGCAAGGACCACAAGAATATTTGCATAAACATATGTATGGAAGTGTGTATTTATTTGCATTCATTTGCATAAATTGCTGGCTCTTTGAGCTGTCGTTCCTTAATTTTATTTTTTTCAGTAAATTTCTTTGCGCTCTGAGCACAGATCCGGACACTTTGGGAGTGAGAACAAAAAGGCAAAAACATACTCTTGAATCAGAAACTTGTGGGGTGAAGCCTGAGCCTCAGTATGTTTTTAAAGCCTCCAGGTGAGCCCAGTACACAGGCCAGGAACCAATGTGAGACAGGACAGGCCTATGGCAGATGTCAGATCAGATCAGCCTCCCTCCTCTGGGCAGGTCACCTCACTGCACCTCTCCCAAAACTCAAAAGCAATGAGGACTGTGAAGTGCCAGTGCCAGCGCCAGCACGTGGTGATCACCCAGCAAGTGCTCACCAGGCCCTGCTCAGCGTCACCACCACTGCACGGTGCCATCCTGTGTAGACCCGGCTGCTCCTCCTGGCCCTGCCACCCAGGGCCCTGGACTCCACCCCTAGGACCCTGAGTTCATGGATAGTGCGTGCTCCACCCTGGGGCCCGGGGTCTGTTCTATCTGAGGCACACGGTCATTTCTCCTTCGAGGTGACTTCCAGGTTGACAGTTCCATCACTGCCCAGATGCCTGGGAAATGTATGCTTGTGATCGGGAGACCACCCAGCCCCGCCGTCCTCCCTCTGTTCCTCTTTCCAGGCCAGGAGCGGGCCAGGCACTGAGGCTTGCAGGCTTTTGCTTTCCCTGGTAGGCGCTGCCGAGGGAAGAAGAACACTGGATTTCTGGAAATGCCTAAAGCACTTCAGTTCAGTTGTTGCCACGGTCCTGCCCCTCTCTGCGTTATTTTTTTCTCCTCCTCCCTGTTTGACGTCTTCCCTCCATCGTCCCGCACCCAGCTGGCCCAACTGTAGCATCCCTGGTCACTCTGTGCTTCCCTACCTTGAGTCTCTGCTTGTGGATAGCCCTTCCTGCATGGCTGGTGGCTCAAACCCTGTCCATTCAAGACCCAGCTCAGTGCCGTCTATCCCACAGCATCTTCTCCAAGCCAGCACCTGTTTCCCTCAATCACTCATTCAGACCTTACCTGAAACCTACCTGAGGCCAGAAGCTATGCCAGGCACTGGGGTGCAGAGACTAGTCAGATGCAGGCTCTGCTTTTGAGAGCTTTCCTGAGGAGTGAGAGCTTTTCGGAGTGGGGAGCAAGTCCATGACTGCCCCCACCCCAGCACCTACCTTTGCACCCCTGTCGAACAGGTGCACCACATTGGAGGATGCTGCTCAGAGCAATGTTGCAGACCTTGCTAACGGGAGACAGAACAGTCATACCTCGGCCTGCAGAAGTCCAGGGAGGAGGGAAGTGGTTTCAGAAGTTCCAGGGGCAGAGGGGAACAGATAGGAGCTGAGGGGGCAGCTTCTGGTGGCAGCCGAGGTGGCCAAGCCCACTCCTCTCCTGGATCCACCTTTGCCGGGACAGGCGGGGTTCTTCCTGGAACCTCAGGGAGCCCCAGAGCTTGGTTTGCAGACCCTCCTGATCCCCCAGGCCAGCCAGGCCTGGCTGCAGCCCCCACTCACCCAGACCCTCAGAGGTGCATGGTCCCCACTGCTGCTCCATCAAGGCCCCGCAGGGCCACCCTCAGTCCCTTCCCCTCACCTCCACCCTCCAGAGGCAGCACCCACCCCGAGAGGGAGCCAGCCTGGGCCTCCACAGCAGAGTGTGGGAGCCCAGAGAGCCCGGAAGTGGCACAGCAGGGGCAGCGTTATTCATCACCGAGGCTGAGCTGAGCAGGAAGGCTGTGGCCCATGGTGGGCCGAGCAGCACCTTCCTCATCCCTGGGCCGGGGGCTGTGGAGTCTAGGAGGACCTGGTCCTGTGTGACCACAGGGGACCGCAGACTCAGCTGATGACGACCCCCACGCGGCCAGGCTTCAGCATCTCAGTGCCCCCAGGCCAGGAAGGCGTCTCTCTTCCCATTTGGTCAGGGTCATTCACTCAGCCAGCAGACACCTCTCTGCCCCTGCTGGGTGCTCAGTGCTGGGAGTCCCTGTCCATGAGCCACCCCTGGTCCAGAGAGAAGTAAACAGACTCAGCAGAGTGCTGAGCCAAGTGTGATGGGACCACAGAGTGGCAGCTGATCTTACCGAATGGGTAGATGTTTTCTGAACGAGGGCGAAGGAATTCCCTGGCAGAGGGAATAGCCTAGGTGCCACCCTCCTCTTCCAGGCTCCCACGCAGCCTCCGTTTCCCTTCCACACAGTCCTGCCCCACAGAGTAGATAACTGTACATGCAGAGAAGACTCCCTAGGGCAGAAAGCCAGATTGTTGCATCACTTCTGCCCCCTGCACAGGGCCCGGCACACAGTGGGGGCTCCCTGAGTGCTGGGTACCCCGTGAGCAGCACCCGTGGCCCGTGCTGGACACAGCCTGTTGGGGAGACTGGTCCTTCTCAGCGTTTGTGTTCACGTAGGGGATGGTCCCCCCTCTGTGTGGCTGCCCTGCCACCCCCAGTCAGCCTCTGAGCACAGTGGCCGGTGCCCAGCTCATTTAGAGCTGAGGCCCCCAGAACCCAGGGCTGCAGCCGAGTACACAGGCCTGGCCCCGCCAGCGCAGGACAGCAACTCTTGGGTAACTGTGTCCATTGGATTTGTAAAAACAGGGCCGTGGTATTATCACAGAATCTGGTAGGTTCTGCTTCCAAGAAAAACAGACTGTCAAGTTAAATACATGTGGGTAGGGACCCAAGCAGAGAGGGGTGTCAGTAAAGCCAGAAGCTCAGCTGAAATGGTAGGGACCCATGAAAAGTCCCATGCAGGGAGAATTGAGCCAGAAGGCCCCAGAGCATGGGCCGTGTGCCCAGTTAGGCCTCTCCTTCCTGCATCTGGGTTCTCAGGCGTGTAGATCGTCACGTGGAGCCCAGTGAGTGCCAGAGGCTGCACAGGGCTCTGGGAATATCGGGGGAGGGAAAGGCGGCGGCTCCACCTACCTGAGCTCGCGGGCTAACTGGAAGACAGGATTCAGCAGGCAAAGATCACACACCCAGGAGGAGGGATTGGCCTGGGACGCAGGGAGACCAGGCACAACCTGGGGGTTGGGAGGACGGGGGTGTCAGTACAGCCCACCTGTTGGTCCTTTCTGGGACCTCATGAGACCAGGCCGGGTGCCTCCTCACAAGCTGGGGCACGACTGGACTCGCCGACCGGTGTGATGGGCAGGGGGGTGTGCTGGGCACCGTGCCTGCTACACAGGGGCACCGAAGCAGTGTTCCACCCTTGGCAGGATGAGGGGCTGACTCCCAACTGTTGCATGGTCCCCCCAACCCCCAGGCCTGACATAGGCCTCCTAAGGCAGACCTGACTCCCTGACTCTGTGCCAGGGCCTGCGGCGGGGGGCTGATCACCTGGAGGGCACAATTCCACTTTTCTTCTTTCATGCCTATTAAGATTTTCTAATATTCCTCTAATGATGTGGAGATTAATTGTATAATTTTAAAAGATCGTTAGAAATATGAAAAACTAGAAATGACTCTTGGGCTTTTACCTCCCCTGAAATGGCAGGAGGCAGACATGTTGCCCTAAACTGACCCGGGCCAGGTTGGGCAGGAGGGGTGGGCCCAGAGAACCAGGGGCAGACCTGGTTCTTCCAGGGTCTTCCTCCTGGAAGACCATGAAGGGCACAGAGTGGGCAGAGAAGGGAGGGGTCTCTACACACATGCACGCGCTCTCTCTCTCTCTCTCTCTCTCTCTCTCTCTCTCTCTCTCTCTCTCTCTCTCTCTCTCTCTCCCTCCCTCCCTCCCTCCCTCCCCCCCCCCACCTCCTCCCTTCCCTCCTAACCTCACATCCTCCCAGCTGTGACTCCTCCCTGGATGGGATTCGCAGTGTTCTGAGCTGTCATTAGCTCCTGGCATCTGGGGTTTCCATTTCATTTCCCTCTTTACCTAGGTAACTAAACTGATTGTACTCCTGGCTCTGGTTCACTAATTCTTGCAAATCCTTTAAAACTATTTATTTATTTGCTGGAACTGTGGCTCTCAGAATTCTTGGGAAGTAATGGCTTTTACTGGAGCAGGAGGAGGAGACTCGTGTTCTCCCATCTCCTTGTGGCTCTCTGCTGCCTGCCCCATGCCCAGTTCTCTCTGCGTCTCTTTCCACTCCTTCTCTGAGCCGGCCCGTCACCTGCTGCAGGTGGCTGACTTTCCCAAAGCCGTAGCTGACCAGATCTTGGAAAGATTAGGTCTCCAGGAAGAACACAACAAAGCGAGGTTTCATGAGCACATAGGAATTTAGGCTTTGGGTTTGCATCTGTGGCTGTTGGGCTCCTCATCCCTTATGGAGGAATACCATTTCCTCGTCCAGGTGCCTGTGACCCTTCTATTTCCAAAGCACACCGTTCCTGTGGGTCTGCAGCTTTGGAAGCAGAAGCCCTGAGGCTGCTCACTCGGCCTTTTCCCAGCCAGCCCCTCCCTACACCCCACAACAGCTGTCCACCCAGCTCCCTAGGACCCCCAGTGGAGGCCAGCCAGCCGGGGCCTCCGAATGGAAAGAGAGTAGGAGGTGGTCTCATGAGTAGATGCAGAGCCAGCCACTTCTGGAACCTAGGGCTGCCCACTGGCTGGGGATGGAGGGCAGCGGGCTCCCAGGGGAGACTGCGCCCATGTAGGACGCCAGGGGGACTGTCTCTGTGACGGGCCTGGCTGCACTGCCTCCATTCCTGCCCCAATTCCCAGCCTCATTCCCCAACCTCCAATACATACCTTTCTGCTTCGCTGACAGAGCTGGGTCCTGTGGTTGGCATCCCAGGCCCTGACTGGGACAGACACATGGATATGTCAGGCCTATGATAAATGCGACTTATGGCAGAGCCTGCCCAGGCCCTGGGGGAGCATAGCTTTGCAAGTTCATCACGGCCACCATGGCCATCACTGTCTTTGCATTCCTTCCTGGAACTTTGAAGTCCAGGGCCAGAGCACCCAACCGGCCAAGTCCAGGCCTCATGGCCACACACCAGCTACCAGGGAGCTACCTCCCCTGGGCCCCCACAGTGACATGGCCCAGATCCCCCCATCTTGGGATTGTCCCCAGTAGGAAGGGGTTCCAGTGCTGAGCAGCCAAACTCACCTCCGTCCACTCCAGTGGCTCCTTCCCCATCAGACTTGAGCTCCTTGGGGACAGAAAGTGGTTTCCTCTTCATGGTCCAGGCCTGGCATGAAGGAGGCCTGTAAATATGCACCGAGGTGCTGAGCTAGTCGATTCAGAGTGACATGCCCCCCTCATATGTGTCTGGTTCTCCACTGGAGACAGCCAGCAGTCGCTCCACAGCCCTGCACTTCCTGGCCCCACTCCCGGCCCCTCAGCCCTGGCCACCCACCCCTCCTTCCTCATAAGGCCTCTAGCACCACAGCTGACCATCCCTGCAGCTCTCTCATCCAGCTCCTCACTGTGGGCACCTATGTCCACACTGAGCTGCGTGCTCCCCTGGGACAGGAGCTGTCTTGCTCACCTCTTGCCCCCGCCTCTGCAGCTCTCACCTCACCCCAGCTCCAGGTGTCGGCCCGGTGTCCTGTGCCTTGTGGGCACCTGATGATATGCTTTGGGTGCTTGCCTACGGCCTGGGAAATTCAGACGAGGGGTCAGAAAGGGCTGGAATGGCAGGGGGCAGCCCAGAAGAAGGGAGCTCATGATGGTGTGAGAAAGAAAGCCCCAAGCCAGGGGAGCATGGGGAGGTGGGCCCGTGCGTGCAGGGTCAGGCCACTCGCGGCTGCTTTCCAGCAACCTTTTCAGTGTCAGAGACAAAGCTGATGCTCTCAGCCTCCCTCATGAAATCCACCAGTGGCCTCCAGCCTGCTAGGGGAAAAAGATGATGGGTTGGTTTGCTTGTTTCACTGTCAGATACAGGTTTGCCTTGATCTGCAGCTTTTCCCTCTGCTTCTCACATGCCAGGCCTCATGCTCACACACACATACACAAGGGCACAGACACGCACCCATGCCACATGCTGTCTCACACACACATCTACACAGACACAGGCACAGACACACACCCACACCACGTGCTCACATGCACTATACACAAGAGGACACACTCCCACACCACGTGCTCACATGCACTGTACACAAGAGGACACACATACACCCATCCTCACACTTGCATACACACAGACACATACACAGGGTGCATGCACACGTCCACACCACGTGCTTGCATGTACATACACATACAGGCACGTACACACCCCCACACCACATGCTGTCTCTCTCACACATACACACATGGGCACATTCACAGGGATGCATACACGCCCCCACACCACATGCTTCCATACACATATGCATACATGAGGGCACATACACACGCCCATGCCACATGCTCACACACATACATGGGCACATACACAGGGGTGCATACACACCCATACCACCTCCTCTCACACACACACATACACACACACCCCTACACAGACACATACACAGGGGTGCATACACACACCCATGCCACATCCTCTCTCTCACACACACACACCCCTACACAGGCACATACACAGGGGTGCATGCACACACCCACACAACATGCTCTCACACTCACATACACATACATTAGCACACAGGGGTGCATACACACGCCCTCCATGTTTGCACACACCATATGTTCACACCCACACCCTTGTACCCACCACATGCTCAAACACACACGTAGATACACATGCATGCACACACACTCACAACCATGTGTGCACACAGCACATGCCAGCCACACCAGTGACCTTCAGTCCCTAACATGGCCCTCTCACACCTCAGCCTGTGTTCACATCTCACCCCTGCAGCCAGCTGGGGCGCTCCTGCTCACCTTTTGAGTCTTCCCTTGACTCCGTCAGGAAGAACCAGCCATCCCCTCCTCGGTGCCACCTCTGCCCAGCACTTGCCCCGGTCAGACTCCTCTCACAGGGCATTCCAAGTACACAAACGCTCTGTGAGTGTGTCTCCCTTTAAACTGTGAGCTCCCCAGCTCTGCACACGTGCCGATTTCCATGTGACCCCAACACCCGCCCCTCCCCCCGCCAGTACCTGGCACACAGGAAACAGCAGTTTAATGAATAAACAAAGGGGCCAAACAGACACAAGCCATCTGAGGTTCCCAGAACTTGGGGTCTGAGTCTGCCTCTGAAGGAGGATGTCAGGGCCCCAGCCTCATTCAGCGGTGGACATGGTCAGCTGCTCCAGGGCACCCTCGAACCCCTATAGAGCTCCCCTGGCATTCTGCCCTGACCCCAGGGCACTCAGAGCTCTCCAAGGTGCTGAACTTGTCTCTTGCCTCTGGCCCCAACTATCTATCCTGGCTTCTTCAATCCCTCCAGCCAAGAACCACCCCATCTTCCAAGAGCCTACCTCCAGTGGAAAAGCAGCAGCACCTCTGAATAAATAACACTGTAGACAAAACACAGTTCTTCCACATGAAGACATGGAGGGCTATGAGCACAGGAGGAGGAGTGAGACCCACCCACCCTCACCCCCACCCCAGACATTGGATTCAGTTCAGTTTCTGGGGCCAGACTCGAGTCTCTCTTCTGGCCCTGAGGACCAAGGCACCTCAGGACACCCCACTCCCTGGTAACAAGTTCTAACCCCTGGTGGGGCCAACTACCTCATAAAAGGACGGTAGGGCCACCCTGCCCCTAAATGCCTCCCCCTCTGTCTGCTCCCATCTGCCTTGGCCCTCACCTGGCCCTCCCCCAGCCCACCTTCAGGCTTCCAGTCCCCACAGAGCTCTTCCAGGTCCTGCCTTGACTCCCCTGGATGTTTAATTCCCCACACAAAGTCCTCTCCACCTCTGGCTCTGGCCACTCCAGAGCTCTTCACACCACTGGCCTTGACCCTGTTTCTCACCCAAGTCTCCCAAGCCCTGGCCTTCTCCCAAGGTCTCTCGGCCCTGCCCGCACCCCATGACATGTTCTTCCTCTCCCGCTCGGAATATTCCCATCACCCCTCGGCCTCCATCCTCCAAGCAGGGGAAGGAGCCAAGTAGCAACCTTTTTGCTGGAGGCAGGAGGGACTACGTGCTGCTAGTGTCAACCAAACCAGGCACTTACTCCAGCTGCAGCCATGGAATTTGCCCATGGCCTTCCCTGCTCAGCCCAGGACCCACCCCCACCTCTGCAATGCCCACCCTCTGGCCAGGTTCCTTGGGCTGGGATGGGGTCCTGACACTCTGCCCCCTGTCCTCCTCCGTTCCTTCCTAAACAAGAGACTGTACCCCTTGACTCCTACTCTGAGCCCACAAGGCATGAACTGTCCATGAAAATGATCTGTTCTTGGTTTTTGTTTGGGTAGATCTTATGATCCGGGCAGCTGGGACCCAAAGCTTGGAGAGAACCCTGTTCTGCAGAGCGACCTCAAGGGCTCCAGGCTGCACCTGTGTTTGGTGGCTGCTGGGGTGGTCACTTCTTCCCAGGAAGGCCATTTAAGGCTCTTCAAAGCCATTGGAGCTGAACAGAATAATTAAATCTCTCCCCAAGGAGGACCTAAATAATTAATGTGCCAATGCTTTAGCAACTGTAGATTGCATACGAAGCGCAGGGTTATCGCCGTTATTAGCACCAGTGTTGCCTGAAGTTAGAGGGGCTTGACTTTTACATTCTGTCCATCCGATTCCACACAACTGTGGTATTTCAAATAGTTCCAGTGGATCACATTTGGGGGAATGTGATCTAACCCCCTAGCACGCATCTGCATGTGGTCTGTAACCCACAATGAATTCCAATCAGAAGGGAACTTTTTGTGCAAAACATGGCGCCAGGTGCTCAGGAGGCCAGAGAGAAAAGCCCTCCAGAAGATCACAAATTAGAAAGGAGACAGACAGACAGACATTCCTCTGTAATAAGGCAGCCAAGGGTCTCTACTCCAATAGAGGTACCAAGTCTCATGGGACCACAGGAGAGAGTGAAGTTAATGGCAACTGAGGGAATCTGTAAGAATTTTTGGAGGATGGGTTTTTTGTTTTTTTTTTTTTTGAGACAGAGTCTGCTCTGTCGCCTGGGCTGGAGTGCAGTGGCGCGATCTCAGCTCACTGCAAGCTCCGCTTCCCGGGTTCACACCATTCTCCTGCCTCCGCCTCCTGAGTAGCTGGGACTACAGGCGTCTGCTACCATGCCCGGCTAATTTTTTCTATTTTTAGTAAAGACGGGGTTTCACCGTGTTAGCCAGGATGGTCTTGATCTCCTGACCTCGTGATCTGCCCGCCTCAGCCTCCCAAAGTGCTGGGATTACAGGAGTGAGCCACCGCACCTGGCCGAGGATGGGATTTTAAGTGAGGCTTACAGCCAGCCATGGTGGCTCACACCTGTAATCCCAATGCTTTGAGAAGCCAAGCCAGGAGAATCACTTGAGGTCAGGAGTTTGAGATCAGCCTGAGCAACATGGCGAGACCCTGTCTCTACAAAATAATAACAATAATAGGGTGAGGCTTAAGGAATGGATGGGACCCTAGGAAGCAAGTGTAGGAGAAACCCTGGCCAAAGGCAGAAAGAGAAACATTCAAAGTGAAGGAACAGGATGAACTGCCTGTGAACTTAGAGAGTTGGGGGATGCGTGGAACATGATAGAATATGAAGCTGTGAGCACAGGTCAGGTCAGGTCATAGAAGCCTGCAGGAGCCCATGGTAAGGAGTTTGGAAATAAGGGATCAAGGCAGCCCTTGGTCTGGTGGACCCTAGGTGAAGAAAGAGCCCCCACTCAAGGTCACAGGAAGATTGAGGTGAATCTGTGACTAGATCTAGGTCTCCCAGTCGCACTACCCACGGCCCAAGCTGGCAGCCACCTCTGTTCAATCCTTGGACCTAAGGGACAGGGGCACAAACCCAGGGAAAGAGAAGGGAATATTTCTGTTAATTTTATGATGATTTCAAAAAATGTTAAGGAGAAAAATAGAAGCAAATTTTCTATCATCTTAGAGGGCATGAGAATGTTCCAGCTGGAAGGCAGTCTTCAGTCCCACCCGCACCCACTGGTGTGCAGCCCTGGGTCAGGGGCTGTAGGCACGGAGGGGACCTCTGAGGCCAGATATCACTGCTCAGTAAATAGGCCTTGTCATCCAGTGTCATCAGTTTGGAAACAGCAGGCTAGTGGGTGAGGTTGTAACTGTTCCTAGGACTTTGGCTCCCTTTTAGATAAATGGCAGAAATTCCCATTTGGACCACAGGAAAGCCAGAAGGGCTCTTCACTAAAACCCTAAGTCCAGGCAAGAAGTCAGAGTGTTTCATGGTTCCTAGGAGGGTTTGCCTGCATAGGGCCTCAGGTGTCACACGTCCGACTCAGGCTGGACGAGCGACCCACAGGTGCCGCCCGCAGGTGGTTTCATTCTGTCTCACCTGGAAGCTGGAGCCCGCTCTTGGCCTTCAGGGTTTATTCTGAGGCCAACTCTTCTTTGGAAAAGAAGTAGGGGAAGAAATGCATATCTGATCAGACCGGGGAGGGAGGGCAACATTCCGCTTGGGAGGCGCGTGGAGCAGCAGCGGGACGTTCTGTTTGTGTAAAGCCCCCATTTGTCCCCACAGTGTCAGCATGCGTCGCGCTCCCTGCTCCTGGATGAATTACCCTCTGGGCCTGCCTGACACTGTCTTTGCTGGGCTTTCTCAGTATATTTCACAACTGCTCTGAGTTTATAATTTTTTCAGGTCCTTTATCAAATATGTGTCATACATACCAATGGGATGGGAAGCATTTATCACCTAGCTGGGTTCTTACTTGAGCTCTGAAAAAAATGATTTGGCCACACAACCTTTCTCAAGGCTCTGATTTAATGGACTTCTCTGCTGCAAAGCCACTGAAATTCTTTGCCTTTTAATATTTGACATCTCTTCCTCTTTATTACCATCTCATACAGCCCTTATAGGCCAGCCAGAACGAGCCCATTAGTCTCTGACAAATAACTTGTGTCGTTTGGTGAAAAATATGCAGAAGTTTGGCTGCAACTTCATCTCCAGCCTTGGTTCTGTTTGTGGCTTCACTCTCCTCTAGGCAAAGCATCCAGCCCCAGGCAGAGCCTCTTCCAGTCCCCATTCCCTCGTGCCACTTGCCGCTGCATCCACAGAGCCATTTTACACTCACCACTTAGAACCAATGGGGTTTGAGACGGGTCGTTAGAGGGGATATCTGGTCCATAACTCGGGGGTGAGAACTGAATGGGAGCTATGGCCTCAAGAAGCTTTGCTCACTTTCACTCACTCTCCGGGGACCCCTGGCACCACTATCATAGGAATGAGCCTGGGCTAGCCTGTTGGAGCATGAGAGACCACGTGGAGCAGAAATGAGTTGTCCCAGATGAGACATTTAGACCGGCCAGTCTCTGCCAATATCAGCCAGGCCTGACCTAGATCTGCTGAGTGTAGCCCAAACTGCCAAACCAGAGTCACAGTCTAAATAAGTGCTCATAGCAGCATTGTTTACAATAGCAAAATGGTGGCAGCAACCCAAGCGTCCATCAAAGGATGAATGGTTAAACAGTATGTGGTATCTACATACAGTGGAATATTAGCCAGCCTTAAAAAGGAGGGAAATCCTGATGCATGCTACCATGTGGGTGAACCTTAAGGACATTATGCTAGGTGAAATAAAGCCATTCACAGGACAAATATTGCATAATTCCACTTATAAGAGGGTCTAAAATAGTCAAACTCATAGAGACAGAAAGTAGAATGGTGGTTGCCGGGGATGAGTGGAGGGGAGGTGGGGAGTGGTTGTTTAATGGGTGTGGAGTTTCCGTTTGTGAAGATGAAAAGGATTCCAGAGGATTGCCCAACAGTGTGAATATACTTAACACAACTGAACTGGACACTTTAAAATGGGTACATTTTACCACAACTAAAAAAAAAAAAAAAGAATTAGCCTCAAACTGAACTAGCAAAGGTGAAACCAACACAGGGAAAGTTCCCTGAGCACTTGAGTCCATCATCTATTCATGCCTTGTGTATCAGTTAGCTCTTGCTGCTTAACAAACAATTCTAAAATTCAGTGACTTAAAATTGAGTGTTTTAAAAACAGCCACTTATTTAGATTGTGATCCTGGTTTAGCAGTTTGGACTACACTCAGCCAATCTAGGTCAGGCCTGGCTGATATTGGCAGAGACTGGCTGGTCTAAATGCCTCATCTGGGACAGCTCGTTTCTGCTCCACACAGTCTCTCATGCTCCAACAGGCTAGCCCAGGCTTGTTCCTATGGTGGTGGTGCCAGGGGTCCCTGGAGAGTGAGTGAAAGTGAGCAAAGCTTCTTAAGGCCGTGACTCACATTTTCACAGGGTCACTTCCACCACATTCTGTAGTCCAAAGCAAATCACAAAGCCAGCCAAGATTCAAAGGGTAGGGAAATCATCTCCACCTCTTGACGGGGGAAGCTACAAAGAATATTTGCCATCCATCACACCAGATATATATATATGTATGCCAGGCCCTGTGCTGAGTGTCGAAGATAAAAATATGAATAAAACATAGTCTAGTGCAGGAGGCAGACATGTAAATAAATAATTACAACTCCTAGTATCGATAAAGAAGTGAGCACAAGTTGTTCTGCCAGCCTCCGGAGGAGGGCAGAGGGCAGAGGGTGTGGGAGGAAGAGGGGAAGGAGGCAAAGAGGCCCAGGACAAAATAACACTTTCCCTGGTGGTGAAGGATAAATACTGCTTGGCCAGATGGAGGAAGGGGAGGGAAGATCCAGGCGGAGGGGACGGAGACTTGGAGTGGGGACGTGTGTGGGGTGCAAGGAGGCTTCGCTGGGGAGCAAAGGGTCCCCTGGGAGTGGAGGAGGAGCGGAGGGAACGGGGAGACCTCCCAGAGGGCTGTGCTGCCCCTTCAGCCCCGAAGGATTTGTGTGGCCAGTGGCTGTGAGGATGCAGTGTGGAGGTGGCCTGGAGGGGGACAGGCTGGAAACAGGGAGACATCCTCAGAGGCTGTTGCAGTGACTCAAGTGAAAGATGAGGGCAGCTCACTCAGGGTGCTGGAGGGCCTAGGGCAGGAGAGGCTGGATCCTGAGAATTCTAGGAGGTAAAAAGATGGGACTTGGTGTGATGAGGGAGGGGAGGAGTCTGGGGAAGGCCTGCGGATTGCGGGCAGTGGACCGTCTTCCACGGGAAGAGGAGCTCCATGCTGGGCGCTGAGTCGAGCATCCTGGGCATGCAGGAGGAAGTGGGGAAAGGGGCAAAGAGGCCTGGGACAAAAATCTGAGCATGGGGAAGCCACTTCCGTGAGCAAGGCCAGGGTGTGCAGTCCCACAGACGTAGGCGGGCATCCCGCTCAAAGCCGAGGAGACCCAAAAACAACCTCTGGGGCCGACCAACAGGGACAGATGCTGAGGCCAAGTCTTCATCCCACCTGGTAGGCTCAGCTGCCAGGACTCCACTCGCCAGACCCCACCGAGCCTCCATGCAGGGAGGGTCATGGGCTCTCTAGGCCATCTTCTCCTGGGGTCTCTAGGCCATCTTCTCCTGGGCTCTCTAGGCCATCTTCCCCTGGGGTCTCTAGGCCATCTTCCCCTGGGGTCTCTAGGCCATCTTCCCCTGGGGTCTCTAGGCCATCTTCTCCTGGGGTCTCTAGGCCATCTTCTCCTGGGGTCTCTAGGCCATCTTCTCCTGGGGTCTCTAGGCCATCATCTTCTCCCGCAGAATCCTGGAGCAGGATAGTGCAGGGTGCCAGGTGCTTCTGGAAGTCCACTCTGAAGACCCAGCCCCGAGGCCTGCAAATCTCCCACACCTGAGAATAGGCCATGTTGTTGGAAGATCTCCCCAGACCCCGCAGCAATCCCACACACCTCACTTGGAAGCTTCTCAGAGATCAGGGAGTGTCCTTTGCCAAAACATGGGGCAGGGAGGAGGGCAGCCTGTGCCCAGCGGGTCCTGGTGTCCCCTTGTGGATTCTGGGTCTCCCCACCGACAGGCACAGCCTGAGAGCCTAAGCTCCTGCTTCGCCGGCCGGGCAGGCAGTGGGCAGCAGCCCGCACACACCAGCCAATCGATACTAGGAATGCACTTGGGGCCTGCTGGGAATCCCCTGGTGAGCACTTTCATAAATTGAAAAATTCTTCTGAAAGTGAATAATCTTCCCCAACTATTAAATCCAGATTTCCACCAAGTGAGATTCAGAGAGAGCAGAAAGCACCTACATTAGGATGGGGACACCTGAACCTCCAAGCGCCTTCCAGGTCTAGCTCCAGAATTCCTGGAGCAGAAGGTGTCACGGCCGGGGCTGGGGCTTTAGATAGAATCATTGCCGGGACCTCGATTTGAAAGGAAGGTCTTCAGAAACCCTCAGGATGCCTCGGGCCCAGAAAGAGTAGGCATTTGTGTGCTGTTGTGTTTTCCAGGCCCCTAAGCACTGATTAACTCAGCAGGCATGTGGGGCCACATCTGTCACTCTCTGCAGCATGACACCCAGGGGGCTACCAAGCAGGTGTCTCTGCCCTTCTGTGCTAGAGGAAACAGAGGCCCAGAAAGCTGGGGTGCTGGCCCAGGGTCACACACCAATTAGTGGCAGTGCTGGAACAAGAACCAGGATCCAGGTCTTCAGAATCCCAGCCCAGAATTCTGTCCCCTCCCCTACCGCTTCACTCAAAAAGGGGATGTCATCTACCTGGCTCGTGGTTTGGGCATTAATTCGGCTGGTGACTCTTTCTGGAGATACGTGTGAGCATGGCAGCTGAGCCTTATCCAGCCTGGCCCTGCAACTGGCCCTGTGCTGTCTCCCCTCCGCCTGGGCTGTGCGCAGGCGCCGCTGGGCTCTCTACCTTGTCTCTAGCCCAGGCCTCTATCCACCGCCTCCTACCCCATCCCCCAGGTGTCCCACAGGCCCCACCCCACAACTGATCTTCTTGTTCCCTCCCTTCCTGATGTCCCACCACCATCCCCTCCAAAAACCTGTTAGTGGTCTCCATGCCTCCCCCTCCCCACTTCCTTCCTGCACTGAGCCCCACGGGGTCCACACGCTCCTGTTTCTCTGTCCTGCTGTTGCTGTGTAATTCCGGCCTTCTCACCTCTCCCTCGGAAAGACCGTCACCATCAGCAGCACTGCACACTCCCACCCGCTGAGCGCTCCCTGTGTGCCCGCCACATGCTGTCTCATGGAACCTTCAACAAGTGTGGACCCTGAGGCTCTGAGGATGTGGGTCCCCTTTCCCAAGGTCACAGAGCTGATAGGAGGCCCAGTGCAGGTTCACCCTCAGGTCTGGCTTCGAGGCTCAACTCTCTGCACGGCGCTATCTTGCCTCCCATTGGCCTCCCAAGCCACTCCCCATCCTGCCTCTGTGTGGATTTGTCTGAAACCCAAGTCTAACCTTGCCACTTCCTGTCCAGAATCCCCTGTGGCTCCCTGGTGCCCCAGGATGAAGCTGGAGCTCCCAGGCAAGACTGTTGCGATCTGGCCCCGCCCACCGCCTCATTGTGTTCCCTGTTGCCCATGGCCCTTTTGTCCACCTGCACCTGCCCCCTCGTGCTCCTGCACCCTCCCACACCCTCCCGCACCCTCCCGCGCCCTCCCACTGGTGCTCTGAGCCTGTTGGTCTCTGTCTGTAGCTCCCACCCCCCTTGCTCCGGGTCTGAGCTCACCCCACGTAGATCCTTCCTGAAGTCCCAGCCAGAGCCCCCTTCCGCACCCCTGGAGATGCTCTGCTGTGACTCCAGACTCAGTGTGACTTGGGGTTGGCGGGGTCAGTGATTCGGCCTTGCCATGGCTCCCAGAGGGCAGGGCCCCCAACCCCGATCCCTGAACATGCATGTGGCGTGTTCTCCAGGAGCCCCTCCCACCGTCTTCCTTGGTCTTCAGCAGAGCCCAGTGTGTCCTCACCAAAAAGGGCCTGCCTGGCAATCAGGGAGCAGAAGCAGGATCCTCAATCCCCATTTTACAGATGCAGAAGCAGAGGCTCAGAGAGACAAAGGGTCTTGGCCAAGTGTCAGAAGCAGGGCTGGGGCCAGGAAGGAGTCCTGGCGGGCAGCCGGCCCTGGCCCATGTGGACAGCAACAACCAATGAGGCTGGAGCAGGGGCGATGGCCGGTGGGGCTGGAGAGCAGGGCTCAGCTCTGCAGGCCACCCTCTCCCACACACCTGCCAAGGGAAATCGCCTGGCCTGAAGACAGTCTAGGTCATTCTGGCCCAAGGATCAGGGCCTCTGACGCGCAGCTGCCAGCAACATTAAGGGCAGGCTTTGCCCAGGGGATCCTGGGGGCAGGCAGATGAGGCAAGGCTGTTGTGGGGAGCAGTGGTCAACTGAAGGCCCTAACTTTTGCCAATGAAAGAGAGTGTGCAACCCCAACAGGGTGACTGGCAGGCTCTTCCCTCCTTCTCCTTTCTAAGCCTTGGGGTGGGTCTGGGAGAAGCTTCTGACATCCCCAGGTCTGGAGCCCATGGGCCCGGGCACTGTCTGTGCCAGCCCCAGGTCCAAGACACCGGGCACAGGTAGGTGTGCAGCAGAGTGGGAGCCTCCGAGGCCACTTCCTGGGATCTGCCGGGCTGTAAAGCAGGCTCTGCCCCATGTCAAAGCCCCAGGAGAGGGTGGGTGTCCTGAGAGACTCAACTGGGACATGGGAGGAGGCGCAGAGGGTCCCTGTCCCTTGCTTGCTTGCTTTCCCGAAAAGTCCCCACAAGTGTGAAACAGAAGGAGGTGCTTGCCAGGCCTCCCATGGCCCCCTCCTTTCTCGGGGTCTCCTCCCACGCCATGGCTGTGAGTGTCTAACATAAGGGACGCTGTTTTTGCAGGTTTTGTGGTTGTGATTCCTTTGAACCATATCCAGCCCATCTTACATCACAGTGCCATGCTTGACTTGGTCTCCAATACATCGGCACCCATTGGCATTTGGAGAACTTGCTCCGTAGTTATTTGACAGTTTTTAGTTGTCTGTGATAATGTATTCTCTATGTTTCCAATCGTCAGTATGGGAATCTCTCCCCCAACCTTTCAATTTCTGGGTTTGATTTTTTGTATCATATTTGGTTTTTTTGCTTTTTAAAGTTGTGATTCCTTTGGTTATTAGCCCCTCCCAGTGGCTGCTTGTTTATGCATTATGTTTGTGACTTCTTTTGACTGTCAGTGTTGAGCCAGTCTTGCCAAGAAACAATATCAAGTATTTCCTATTTCTCTACTTCTTGAAAAAAGAAAAAAAACTTTTTTTAATTAAAAAAAAAAAAACTCTTAATGGGAACCTGGCCCTGTCTGTCTTCTCTGTTCTGCAGAAATGTTGAAGGAATTGAACCAGCAACGCAGAGCGAAAGCGTTTACAGACCTGAAAATTGTTGTTGAAGGCAGAGAGTTTGAAGTCCACCAAAATGTTCTAGCTTCCTGCAGCTTGTATTTCAAGGACCTGATTCAAAGGTTTGCCTTCCTTCCAGCTGTGGTCGGGTCTGTTCCTTTGTAGGACGCTTTTGTGTCGCTTTTCTCTTCCCCTCTCTTGCAGGTTCCTGAAGCGTGACTCCCTGTCACAGAGCCAGTAGCCATCTCTCCTCCTCCTCCTCCTCCTCCTCCCCAGTACCCTCTCACACACAGCCTCAGAGCAGCCACTGCGCCCAGCACCCGCCCCCACCCACAGCTTTGCTGTCACCAGCTTTGCTGGTCACCAGGGGCCTCTGCCAGCAGTAGACAACACCGTGCCCCACCCCTGAGATCCCAGGTTCTCAGTGGCTCACAAGCTGTCCCTGAGATTAGGGGGGACTGTAGGCTCCATTTTAAGGGATCACTACACACTGCCCCCACCGGGCCAGAGCAGGATCCCCAGTGCCATCGTCCCTGCTGTCGGTGGTGACTAATGCCAGGAAAGCGCATCGGCCAGGCTGTCCCTGCTGAGGAGCACAAGGTGCCCCCGGGGCTGCTTTTCCCCAGCCCAAGTAGGGGAGAAGAGACTTGTAGCAATGCCTGGGCCACACTGCATGTCTGATCCTTGTGCAGTGAGCCTAAACCGGCGCTGTGGAGCATAGACCAGGTGTGTCCTAAACACGGTCTCTCTCAACCCTTGCTCCCTCCCTCCTGCCCTCTGCCCTGGCTATTTCTACCTGAATGAGTCTTATTGGTGCATGAGCATCTTTTTTTTTTTCCTCCATTATGTTGATTTTTTAATTTGTCTGCTTCATACCTTTGCAAAGAAGTCAGGGGCCACCTTCCAGCTCCGTAGTAAGGGAGAGCAGCCAAGGGGCCAGCCCAGGGTAACGCTCACGTTTCTCTCAGCCCTCAGCAGATTAACGCCGCTGCTCCTCTTGCCTTGCAGCCTCTCCGGGGCAGACGCTGAGCCGGGACTGTGCTCAGAGGGAGGACAGGACCTCTGCTTCCCAATGCCGTGTTTGGACTTGCCAACTAACCCCGGAGTGACTGTGTTTTGTTTCAGGATGGATCCCTGGCTGGCATCTCCTCTCCGATCCGGCCTTTCACATAGAGCCCAGCTGCCCTGTGGGCAGGCTCTGGCTGGCCACATGCCGGCCCTCAGCCTCGCAGGAAGGGGCAGGCTCTTTGGGACTTCCCATCTCATGGACACCTCAGGTCTCCTGCCCCCGGTGCTTGGGCTCTCTCTGTCCAAGCACAGGGGTTAGGGGCATGTGGTCTGGGGTGAAGGGACATGTCTAGTGGCCTCACCAGGCCAGGGAGGACTCTGTGCTGCCACTCTTGACAAATCCTGGACAGCAGGGGCCCGCATCGGGCTGCCGGATCATGGATGAGCGTCCTAGGGTCTTGGGCCTGGCTCCAAACCAGCTAGAGAGGACAGAAAGGGGGCAGGTCAGTGCTGAGCGGCAGCCTAGTCCCCAGCTAGAACGTGGTGGGTGAGAGGAGCACAGGGCCCTCGGATGGCTTTCAGAGACCGCACATTGAAAGCCAGACTTGCACACAACAGAGAAGAACACGTGCTAGGAGGGAACCCAAAGTAGTGAAGGCTTCTTGGGCTGAGAAGAGGGAGGAAGAGCATTCCAGGCCGGGGATGGGGCATGAGTGGGGAAGGGCAGGGTGGGGCAGATGGCCCTCCAGAGGGGGCTGCACTGGGGCAGGCAAGCCCTGACCCCATGCTAGGACCTGGGCATGGTCTGAGGTGGGTAACTTCAAGAGCAGTGGGGAGGGGACGCCCACCTGAAGGAAGGAGAACAGTAGGATGTGTCTCGGTGGCCCTCATCAGAAAGGATGGGGCTGGAGGAGAGAGGACATCCCCACCTTGGCAGGTAGGAGACCTGGGTCCTACGCCTGACTCCGCCGCTTGTCTTGTGACCTCAGACTGGTCACGTCCTCTCCTGCGCCCTGGGCTTTCTCATCTATAAATCAGGAAATTGGTTCAAGTGATGCCCAGGTCTCCTTGCAGCTCTGACACCTCCGGGGGATGGGCAGAGGATGGGCAGGACCAGGACGGAAAGGCAAGCACCAGGACCCAAGGAGGTGAGGTGTCACGGGCATCAGAGGTCACGGGCATCAGAGGTCACAGGGAGGAGAGCAGGTCCACAGGCCAGTGTCGGGAGAGCTGGGGAGATGAGCAGTTGACCATCTGGTGTGTCAAGCTGAGCAGCCTGACGGACGCCCAGGTCCCCAGGTTGGGCCACCTGTAGGCAGCCAGGTGCATGGAACTGAACCCAGAGAGGTCTGAGGTTTGTAGAGATGGGGCTGGGGGGCCTTCAGCATACAGTAAGGTCACACAGGAAAAAGGAGGGGAAGCCAAAGCCAAGCCCAGGGTGCCCTGTGGCTGAAAGTCGCCGTGTTCGTTTGCAGCCACAGAGCACACATGACCAAGAAGTGCCTTCTTGGGAGGAAAGCCAAGTCTTTACAAGAAGATGGCTTCCTTTCCTGCCGTGTAAAATCATAGAGAATTTCACATTCTTGGTGGTCAAGAGAGAAGCTGATGTAACCATGTCTTTTCAGTCCCCTTGGCATCCGTGACCCTGGAGACTTACTGTGCAGTGGCCGGATTGGCCCAGTGCAGAGCCATGGCCCTGCCCTTTGACCCCAAGCAGTGGCTCCACGCTCAGGCAGCTGCACTCTTGTAAGGGGAGGGAGTAGGGACCTTCTCTGGGACCTCTGTCCTGGTGTAGACCTCCGTGGGGATCAACATTGGCCCTCCCTGGGTGAGCCCTGCCAGGGGCAGGTGATCCCTCCCTGCTGTCCCCGCATCCCCAGGTCTGGAGGCTCAGACTAGACTCCCACCACCAGCCTGGGACAGGTGATGTGTCCACCACTCCAGCCCCAGGGAGGACAATGACCCAGCACCCAAGCCTGGCAAGGACGGTGCCTGCCAGACCCAACCCCAGTGCAGACGCCCTGCCCCACAGCCACAGGACAGAATGGGAATTCAAGTCACTCACTGGCTCGTCACTCAGCAAACACACAGGAGCCCCTCCTGGGGCCGGGGCTCACACCAAACACCAGCTGAGCCCACAGTCTGGTGGGGACACGCTGCAGACAGGCAAGGAGACGAGCAGAGACGATGCTTCAGAGACTTGTGGTCCAAGGGCCTGGCTGTGGGGGAGGGTCATTCAGAGAGGCTCCTTGGAGAGGTGGCATCTGATGTGGGTTATGAAGAATGGGCATTGTCCGGGCAGACAAGTGGGGAAGAGCAAGGTCGAAAGGCGGGAGGGGGTCTCAGGTCCCACAGGTGACTCCACGTTGCTGCAGGGCCGGGTATGAGGGTGGCTTGCAGGGGACGCGGCTGGAGGGAGGCTAGACCTGGGTCACAGGAGCCTGGGGGCGTTGCGACCAGATGTGTGTTTTGTAAAGATGACAGTCAGACCATGAGCGGGAGAGCTGGGTCTCAGTGTCCTCTCCCAGCCTGCGGCCGAGTCCCTTTGGGCTTGGCTGCCCCCCATGGCCATGCAGAAGGGTCCCGGCAAAGTCCTGCCCAGAGCCCCACACCCTTCACCCTCTTCCCTGAGCATGTGTGGGTGGCAGCACCTCGGTAGAGTGGACAGGTGTGGCTTGGAAGCCAGATAACGAGACTCCCATGTCTCATCTTGGATGCTGGCACAATGGCGTCACCCACACCTGTCACCAAGTTACCAAGGGTGGGCCTGAGCCACACAAATCCCCAAGACCCAGGGAGACTGGGTGCATGCCCATGCGTGTGTCCTGCAGCTGATGACACGCCCAGGCGTTCATTCATGGGCGGAGTCCTCTCTTCTGAGCAGAGCTGGGTACCAGCCACCTGCCCCATGCCTGTCCCTCACCCACCACTGCCCATGGATTCCTCTCATTGCTCCAGACAGTGCCCAGTTCCAACTTGCAAAATGAAAACATCTGATCTCTGAGGTGCATGAGGGTGGATGAGGGCCTCCATCCTGATGTCTGGAAGGAAGGGCATTTCTAATCCTGGATGAGTCTGTGGCTAATGGTGGGATTGCAAACATTCTAGTAGTTGGGCCTAGCCATTCCTCTGCTGAGCAGAGGCTGCGTCCCGGACTCTGGCCTCTCCTGGGCACCCCCACGCCCAGAAGTAGGTGACTCCAGGAAGCTCTGGTCTTCTGACAGACCCCATGGGGCCTGTGTGGCTGGGGAGCACCAGCCTGCCCTCACTCTATACCCCACCCCCCTGCGTCAGCTTCATAGAGAGGGTTAGTGCTGCCCGTCTGCCCTGCTGCAGTCCCTCCAAAGCCACATCATGACCTGATGGGCCAGCAGCACCCCAAGCCATTCACTCCATGGGGCCCGGTAGGACAGGACAAGAAATGGCTTGGGGCAGGGACAGAACAGCCACCTGTGGAGGACGCAGCCCTCGTCAGCGACCAGGGTCACCCATCACGGGGGTGTCCCCTCTGGGGTCCCTGTTCAGAGAGAAGAGGCCTAAGGAGCACTGGGGTCCAGTCCCAAGACAGTCTGATGTCCAGGGATACAGAGGCGCCCCCACCCCCTCACAGCTCTGCAGGCCATGCACGAAGGCCTGTGTGGATGAGAACCGTGTGTGTTGGTAAGAGGCACAGCCCTCGCCCTCTGGGGCCTCGCCTCCTCTTTGAACTCAGATTCTGAAAGAGCCCCCATCACATTCCCCTGTGCCTCTGCGGCCTTTCCCTGCAGATCATCTGCCCAGCGGCCCCCTCCACCCCACAGGTGACCCTCACAAGGGGCCAGGAGGAACAGAGCCACAGCCATGCCTCCTGTGGCCAGGGGTCCTCCTCAGTCTAGACAGCACCTGCGATGCTCCACGGCACCTGTGTCCCTCCTCCTGTGCCTGGTGGCCAGGACCCACTCCCTGGCTCAGACTGTGGGCAAGACAGGCAGCACCCCTCAGGGCAGCCATGTGAGTCCCATCGCACCTGTCACTCAGCCATGGACTGTCCGTCTGCCCAGCACCCCTCCCCACCGGGGGACTTCACGGCTCTTAGGGTCAGTGCATATGTGTGCGTGTGCATGTGCTCGCACATCCTGAAGTCCCCCTGGGCTCAGCCCTTCACTGGCTTTGAGCTCCTCTGCCTGAGGACTCCTGGGTGGACAAGTGGGCTGGCCAGAGGTGAAGGCAGCAGTGACTGGGGGCCTCGGGAGAAGGCTGTGGCCCAGTGTGACCTCCACAGGGCAGAAAGGGCATGCAGAGGAGAGGCTGGACAGCGGCTTGTAGGAATGAAGTCCCAGGCAGCAAAGACAGGAGTACGAGGTTGACCAGATGGCTCTGGGGCCGGGGGTGTTGAGGATTTCTGTGATTTTAAGTGATCACGTAGTGAATTATTTTTACGCTTAACAAAGCCACCGAGGTATGGAAATCCATCCTGACAGCAGAAGACTAGGTGTGTGAATTCACTTTAGAAGTCACTCTGTGTTGGGGGGTTTGGAGGGGCCTCTGTGGAGTCCACACCTTGCCCCCTCTGCCTTCTGGGCTGGCCCCGGGCTTGGAGGCAGAGGCCCCTTGGGGTCCTGGTGGGATGAGCCGTTGTGTGGGGAGGGCCTACTGTGGCCACGCTGGGAGAGAGGCTGGACGCCAGCTCCGCAGCAGGATTGCACCTCCCCCTCTCCTCCTGGCCATGCCTGTGCTGAGGCCCTGGGAGGGCGGTGCCTGACCTCAGAGAATGTCGCTCTAATGGTGGAATTTCAGGTACTGCCACGTAGGGAAGAGTCTCGTGGGAAGGGCATTTTCCAGCCTCTGTCACAAAATCTCCAAGGGAATTCAGACCTCATCTAGTTCCATCCTCTTATTTTGCAGAAGAGGAGGCTGAGGGCCCGGGAGACCAAGGCTGCCCACCTGTGGGTGGCAGAGCCCAGGCACCCAGTGCCCCCAGCTCCCTGCCCCCTGCTCTTTCCGCCCACCCACACACCCAGCAGCTGGCCTCTCTGCGGCCAGCCTGCTCGCTTGCTGGACACCTCGACAGCCCCACCGCCAGCCGCAGGTGCGCGCAAGGGACCCGTCACAAGCATCTTGCCCTGTGGCCTCCTGAGAAGCGAGTGAGTGGACCACAGAGGTCATTTCCCAGCCACGTGGCCAGGCCCAGCCCGAGGCAGGACCGGGCTCAGGGTGGGAAGCAGGGCTACTCAGAGGAGCCAGGATGGGGCGGCCAAGCCGACGGCCTGCGGGGCCGCCTCCGGACTCCTAACGCGGCAGGTGTTTTTACTCCTGCTGTCACTTATGTATCAGTGTCACTCTTGCTTCATCTTATCTGTTTCCTTCCAGGTCCAGCTTTAGGGGCAGCTGCCAGGCCTTAGGAGCCTTTGCAATGGTTTTGTATTCCTGTAGACACCAGATATAAACAGATTTATATATTTGTGTCCCTCCCCTGCTCCCCCCAGTTCCCCAGCCCGACGCACACTCTACACGCAGGCCACTCTGACCTCTGACCCCGTGTTCCATGTGGCAGGAGGGCCCGCCCCGGGCCAGGCCCCAGGTCATGGCTGCTGGCTGTCTGTGGCGGAAGTCCTTGGTTGTTTCCTCTCCCCTCCTCCCGGCTCTCACCATTCTGTCCGTCTATCTCGTCTTGTCCTCAGTTTCAAAGCAATGTCACGAAGGGCTTCCTTTTCATGCCTAAAAGGAAACAATATGTTTTTGGAAAGAGGTGGGGTTGGAGCGGGTTCTGGGGCAACTTGGGGCCCTCGGTCCTGGGGCGATCAGAGGATATCTCTGGATTGGCTGGCATCACAGCCAGTTGGGAGCCTCCCAAGCCTGGGTCACGTTGGAGAATCTGCCACCCAAGGCAGGCAGGGCCGGGCTGGGATGCGTCGGCCTGCTTTGGTGGAGACACCAGGGCCTGCAGTGGGCTGAACCGTATTGTTTCCCTTTGAGGCCAGTCCTGGTCCTCGTCCCCATCCATAGCTCATGCTTTTTGATTTGCATCTTTTTTTGCATGGACATGCCGAGTAGTGATAAGCAGGGTTTTCTGTTCTTTTGGGCGTCTCTGGTCAGACTCTTCTCTTTCAGATCCCGTGTCACAGCATTAGGTTCAGGTGTGTCATTGCCGTGTCCTTTGAGCCCTAAAACCAAGGGCATGACCAAGGTGTGCAGGGAGATCTAGCCCTGTGAGGAAGCGGCACGGTGGCCGCAGGGCAGGAGGTAAGGACACCCTGGTCTCTGTGCCTAGGTCCGTGCAAGACAGCGGCCAGGGCGGCCGGGAGAAGCTGGAGCTCGTCCTGTCGAACCTGCAGGCAGACGTCCTGGAGTTGCTGCTGGAGTTTGTCTACACGGGCTCCCTGGTCATCGACTCGGCCAACGCCAAGACACTGCTGGAGGCGGCCAGCAAGTTCCAGTTCCACACCTTCTGCAAAGTCTGCGTGTCCTTTCTCGGTGAGCCCGGGGGCCACATATGTCGCTTGGGGGGAAGAGTGCAGATGGGCGGAGAACTCCATAAACAGCAAGGACTGAGCGGGGAGGTCTGTGTGTGCACACCTGAAGCTCCCTCACATGTGGCTGAGTTTGGCAGGGCTGTTTTAAGATGGTAATTCAGATAACTACATGCAAAGGCTCTCTTTCCCTGGCATGGAATGAAGAGGACTCCGTGTCATTTCTCTGTAGGTGGGAGAGGCATACTGTGCCCCGCCAGGCCTTGTGGGAACAAATGGCACCATGAGGGCTGTGCATGTGCTCTGTTTGTGGGGAAAGGCTATGGCCCTGGCCTCACAGTCCTGTTCTCTAGACCCTGAACAAAGCAGCCCAAACTTGCCTTCCCTTTACCTTATTCATACCTGGGCTGCCTCAGATGTCTGTCCAGGTCTAGACATCTGAACTGTCCCTTGAGTACCCAGATCTGCTGCCCAGGATGGGGACTGAGTGTCAGGAGCTCCCGGGGGGGTCGCTGACCCGAACAACATGCTGCCTTTACGCTTGATGCTACCCCGCATGGGCGACGGCAAGGTGAGGGAGGGACAAAGACGAAAGCCCCCAAAGAAGCAGTGGCCTGGGGTGTGGAGTGCAGAGAGAAAGCCAGAGCCCAGCCTAGAGATGGGGCAGATCCGTGAGGACAGAGGGGCACCAAGCAGTCTCGAGGTGCCAGGAACCACGATGGCAGTGAGGCTCGCGCACAGATGGGCCTCCAGAAACCCAGACACGCCTAGGTTGGAAGAACCACTAGCATGAAGGGGAAAGAGTGCAAGGCCCTGGGAGGGACAGTATTGGGTAAACAGGATACGGAGATGGCTCCCACCCCAGACCTAGCCACTAAGCCCAGGAGAGCTGGCCAGATGGACCCCAGAGCCTAGCGAGCCAGATTGAGTGGGGCAGAAGCCTATGCAAGAAGCTGGGAGGTGTGTGAGGGGCACTACTGCTAACGAAGGAGTCTGGGACCACAGACATGCCTGGCACAACATGGAAGATGCTGTAAGCCTCAGTGCCACCCTCAACCTCAGCGACAGTGTGACTCCTGACGCCTGACCCCAGCCCAGGCCCAGGCTCTGAGCAGGGCTCTCCTGCTCCATGCCTCCCAGTCTCGGTCCTTCTGCCAGGACCTGTGCGCACAGAGGGAGGCCCCTGGGAGTCAGCATGAAATGGGGTAGGGGAGAACCCAGGAGAAGGATCGAAGCCTCCAGACACCCAGGAAGGGGGCCTGCAGGGACTCTGGACACTGCAGTCAGGGTCCCCCGGGATGTGGGTTCAGAGAAGGATCTAGGGTGACAGCAATGGGAACAGGTGGCAACTGCTTCCCGGGCCTTTGGGTCAGTGGTCCTGCGCTGTCGCCCCCAGAGAAGCAGCTGACGGCCAGCAACTGCCTGGGCGTGCTGGCCATGGCCGAGGCCATGCAGTGCAGCGAGCTCTACCACATGGCCAAGGCCTTCGCGCTGCAGATCTTCCCCGAGGTGGCCGCCCAGGAGGAGATCCTCAGCATCTCCAAGGACGACTTCATCGCCTACGTCTCCAACGACAGCCTCAACACCAAGGCTGAGGAGCTGGTGTACGAGACAGTCATCAAGTGGATCAAGAAGGACCCCGCGACACGCACACAGGTGGGGCCTGCCCTGTCCCCCGCCCCTTCTCTCTGGGTTTGGGGTCCCCCTGCGGCAATGGGGTCTGCAGCAAGGAGGAAGGAAGTGAACCTTCCTTGTCCTGCTCTCCCTAAGTGGCAGAGAGGTGAAGGGCGGGCAGAGAGGTGAGAAACCAGTCACCAAAGGATCCTCAAGGGCTGGCATTCCACCCCAAAGGAGACCCAAGTCGGCCAAGAGCCGCAGCACCTGCACTCTGCAGGGAGAAGTGGGTCCCTGAGCCAGGGGGCTCTGGGGCTCCCAGGAACACGGACCCAGCTGGAGGAGCCCATACCTGCTCTGATTGTTGAGGGGATGGACAGCCCGCAATGGACCAAATGGAAACCCCTGCATGCAGGAAGAGGGAGAGTGAGGTCCTGAGGGGACTGTGTTGGGTAAACAGAGGATACAGAGAGGGCTCCCGCCCCAGATCTCGCCATTGAGCCCCAGAGAAAGGGGTCCTCAGATCAGGTGGGAGGCAGGGTTTCTTTTCAGAGGTAGGAAGTTAGATGGGGCAGCTAATAACAGTGACAGCCACAAGTCCCTATGACTCCCAGATCTGTGTCTCAGGCTGAAACCCTTTCCTGAGCTCCAGACCCCTCTGCTCAGTGGCCTTCTGGGCCTCTCCAGCAGAATGTCCTGCAGATCCGTCTAATTCACCAAGCCGAAAGCCTACACCTCTTCCTGTTCCTTATTTCAGCGATGCCTGGTCCCCAGAACTGAAGCTTAGCTTCCTCCCACTTCTCCCATAGCCATTTCGCTACACGCGCTCATTCCTGCCTCCTTCCTCCCCTTTAAGTGGATCGACTTCCCTCTCCCCATCGAGACCTTCCTCCTCTCGCCAGGATTACTGCAGCACCTCCTAAGTGGTTTCCTTGCCTCTGTCTTGCTCCCTCCAAATCCATTTTCCACCCTCCAGCCTGAGCGGTCTCTCTAAAAGCACACTGAACATCTCATCCATCCACTCAAACCCCTCCTCAGTTGCCTCGTCGACTCCACAGGGGAAACTGTGCAGTCCTTGTTGAGCATGAGCATGAGCTGGCCTCCCCAGCCTCTCTCCTCTCACTTCTCCCTGTCTCCCTAAACGCCTCCTCAACAAAATCCTGTTACATCTCGTAAGAATAAACCCCAGACAATTCTCCAGACACACCATTCTCTTTCACTCTCTGACGCCTCTACACGGGCTTCGAATGTCCACCCTCCCATCCACCTTGTGCCTGGCAGAAGTCTGCCCATTTTGTATACCCCATCCAGATGCCATTCCCTCTGCAAAACCTCTTACTCCTGCACCCACTACAAACCCTCACTAGACACTCCTCTTGCCCCTCGTGAATTTTTCATAGCAGATCCCCTCCCATTAAACTGTGTACCCCTTGAGGTCTGAAACTGGGTCACAGTGGTCTCTGCACCCCCAGTGATGAGCGTCATGCCTGGCCTATGGTGGTCTCGTTACTCATGGGATGAAACGAAAGTAGAGTGATGAGCAGAGTTTGTTAGGAGGGGAGATTCAAGGGAGCCTGTAAAACCACCTCAGTGCAGGGTGACAGTTTGAGGCCGTGGGACATGGGACACCACTGAAAGTTTTCGGTGCTGGAGAGACACAGGCTCCCACGGCTGAGACTTACAAGCTCAATAGTCGCCATCTCCTTGAAGCTTTCCTGGGTCCTCCCACCTGTTCCTGAGTCCTTGTCACACTCACAGCTCTTTAATAATCGCGTCTTCCTCATTTTAACCCCTCGCCCCTGCCCCCAGTGGCCTGATCTGCAGCAGGGGTCCACAGCCCCAGGTGGAGTGAGAGAATGGGGTGCTGGGGGGATGAACACATGCTCCCACTCCTGCAGGGCTGGCTGCAGCCTGCCAGCCTCCCCTCCGCACCCCTGCGCTCCCGGCCCTCCCCTCCACACCTCCAGCTGACTAGACTTCCCTTCACCTCTGTCTAGGCTAGCAGAGTATCTACACTCCCAAGCCTAACACAGCCTGGAATTATCCATTCTTGTGCAGCCCCACACCATTTCTTTCCGTCCGGGAGGTGGCTCTCTCTTGCTAGTCTAAGAAGATTCTGTCTCCTGTACCCTGCAGTACGCGGCTGAGCTCCTGGCCGTGGTCCGCCTCCCCTTCATCCACCCCAGCTACCTGCTCAATGTGGTTGACAATGAAGAGCTGATCAAGTCATCAGAAGCCTGCCGGGACCTGGTGAACGAGGCCAAACGCTACCATATGCTGCCCCACGCCCGCCAGGAGATGCAGACGCCCCGAACCCGGCCGCGCCTCTCTGCAGGTATGAAGGGGCACGCCCCGAACCTCCCAAGAAGCAGTGTCTTGGGCTCAGTGGTTCCAGTGAGGTGCCAGGCACAGATGCCGACAGTCTTAGAGTGTGTCCCAAGGGCGCCCATCCATGTCCCTGCAGGTGTGGCTGAGGTCATCGTCTTGGTTGGGGGCCGTCAGATGGTGGGGATGACCCAGCGCTCGCTGGTGGCCGTCACCTGCTGGAACCCGCAGAACAACAAGTGGTACCCCTTGGCCTCGCTGCCCTTCTATGACCGCGAGTTCTTCAGTGTAGTGAGTGCAGGGGACAACATCTACCTCTCAGGTGAGGCCCCCCGGGGTTGGGGCGGGACCAGGCATGGGGGTCCCAAGGGGACTGCTCCCCACGTCAGGGCTGAGGAAGGCCATGGCCCAGAAGTGTCTACTTTGCAGGTGAAGCCTTCCTCTGCCCCTGGGGCTGGGCCTGCTGACCCCAGGCCCCTCCTCACCCCGCCCGCTCTCTCTGCCTCCCACACTGCCTCCAGGTGGGATGGAATCAGGGGTGACGCTGGCTGATGTCTGGTGCTACATGTCCCTGCTTGATAACTGGAACCTCGTCTCCAGAATGACAGTCCCCCGCTGTCGGCACAATAGCCTCGTCTACGATGGGAAGATTTACACCCTCGGGGGACTTGGCGTGGCAGGCAACGTGGACCACGTGGAGAGGTAATGAGGCCACGGTCAGGACAGGGGCATGCTCTTTGCTCACCAAGAACTGAAATCACGTCACTCACTGTACCTCCCAACACCCACTCAGTGGCGATGGAGCAGAGCCTGGACCATTCATATGGGCAGTCATCCCAGGCTCTTCAGTCACAGCACCGGGGGCAGCAGGGTGTGGGATACAAGCAGATGGGATGACATCTGTGTCACCTTTGCAGTCGCTGAGATGGGAGATGGGGCGCTTCTGTCCCGACAACCCATTTAGGTGTCAGACAAGCTGGAGGCCCAAGATCCAGTTGCAGAAGGCCTGGGATGAGCCAGACCCTCCTGGCCAGGCAGTCAGGGAACACCCTGCACCATGAGCACCAGCCCAGAGACTGCTGGGGTTTCGGGCAAAGCTGGAAGCAATGTTTAAAATGCAGGTCATGCCAGTGGCGGTGCCTCCTTGTCCTGCCAAGCGGGGGGTCCCACACCAGGGAGCTCCCTTCCTCCCTCCAGCCACACACACCAGGACATCTGTTCGTAATACAGAGAAAGGCCACTGCATACAAACTAAGCAATTTAGGGAGAACATTCTTGCCAACCCTCTAGAACTTTCCAGAAGAAAAAATAAGCCAAAGGACCACGTGTGAACCTGCCCTCCGCTGGGAGTCCCAGCCTGGCTTCCTCCCAAGGCCATTGTGGAGGGTCAGATACAGGCATGAGGGGCGTGGGCTGAAGTGGGTGCTTCCGGATGAGAATACAAAATCCTTTTCCCTTGAGCCAGGGAGACTGTTCTTTCTTACAGAGAACAGATGCCTGGGGGAAAAGCTCAGGAAGCTTTGTCAGGCAGCAGAACGGAGGCTTAGTCCTGCTTTTGGAGAAACTAGTGCCTGGAGGGTAACCCGTCAGGCTGACCTGGCCCAAAGCACAACCCAGGGGAGACAGCTAAGATTGCCAGAGCCCCTCCTGCACCTGAGCCCACCACCCCCACCGCCATGTGTCACCAGAAAGCACATCTTCCCGTGGGACATCATGTTGCCTATGAAGCCACACATACCCCTCAATTTGTATTTTTCCCCCTTGGTGGCTAATTGGACACTTGACAAATGTTACAGCAAAGACGGTTGCAGAGTGAGGCAGGCTCTGAATGCTCATTGTGGGCTTTTAACTCCTCCCCCAAGTAGAGCCCAGAGATGGCTCAGTAACAACATTTAGTTATCATATTGATCTGGCAATCATGGGCATTGCCACGTGAAAATGAGGATATTACCGCAGTTGCTGGAGCTGGGTTGGCCCCGGTGCTGGCAGCCTTCAGTGTGACCCACTGCCCAGCTATGCATACCCCAAGCATTCTGGAAGCATCGGCTTCCGATCATTTGTCATCCAATAATAAACAAACACATGAAAAATGAGACATTTTCTCTGTAGGAGTAAACTGAACTGGATCCGTCATTCTGTCTTGCTTTTGTCGGCTATTTTTAATCTCCTAAGACACTGATTACTCATTTTGCAAACTTATACTGTTGATAAATATAGGGATTTGTTCAAGGATCAAATGCACCAACTAAGCAGTGAGACAAGCTCTACTCTTCCAGGGTCCTGGAGCAGTTCTCCAAGACCAGGGGTTGCCTGTATGGGCCTTCCCTGGGGGGCAAGGCCCTCCTTCTGGCTGTGAAAGTTCAGCATGGGCACAGTGTGAGCGAGACCACCCCGGGAACCCCAAGAGATGAAGGACAAAAGGGTGCCCTGAAGGGCCCTGAGCCCTTCCTCAGCCCACCAGAGTCTGCCAACTGTCCTTGCAGGGGCAGGATGCAGGCTTGAAGACCCCTGGGCAGTGTGCATGCAAGTGGGTTGGAGGGTGCAGGGGAAGGAACGCTCACTGCTTTCCAAGAAGTGTAGCTAGACCCCCTTCGGGTAGGTTGCTTTCTGTGGCACACAGTGGCAATGATGAGAATTCAGGGTGACAGGAAGGTCAGGGTAATGGGGACAGACACGAGGGGGCTTTGTTCCCCAGGAAGCACTAATGGTACAAATGGCTATTATATTGATAATGAATGAGATATATGGTGCATTATAATTATATTACATTATGGTATTACAGGAATAGAGCAAGATTATATAATTATAGATTAAGACAACAGCACAATAGACAAACCTGTATTATATCATTATATAAATAACCGGGTCTAATATTTTATAGCAATATATTGCAGTCACTGTGGTTACTGGATAAATGATAGCAGAACGCCTCACTCGGCAGGGTCATTTGCATGTCATTAGCATATCCTTCTCAAGCAGGAAGCTGACAGATTGAGCTGACGGGAGGGCTCATGGCTTGGCAATCAGCCACCTGGAATAACAAGCTCTCAGGAAATTCGCATTTGGTGCGATGTGCCATCATACTGAAAGACTGAGGACTAACAGCCACATAATCTTCCACTGTCTCCCAGCTCCTTCTGCAGGAGCTCTTTGGAACCCTGCCATATTGGCTTAAAAAGCAGATATCTGAACTTCTGACACTGTCCAAAAAGACACTTACTCCATTGCATATAAGCTACATATCATTTGTCTGGGGCTTAATTGAATCTGCCCCGCTGCTGCCCTTTGAGACATTCCAGCCTCGTCTCAAATCCAAGCACACAACTGGACGTCACATCACCCTCGCTCAGAGGCAGAGGCACGGGCTCTGGGAGGCCAGCTTCCTGGGCTCTGGGCTGTGACTGAGTTATGACTGGTGTCCCAAGGAGGCTCACAGAAAGAAAGCAGGCCCCGTATGCCTCCCAGGAAAGATGTGCTGGGGACAGACCCAACCCTGGTGGCACAGCATGCCATGCCCAGGCCTCGCATTGCGTCCAGGCACTCACCGAACAGTGAGCAGCATGGTGGGCGGTAGATGTGTCCCCTGCTGGGAGGGCCTAAGTATGGAGGCAACTGGAGTTGGGAGACCAGCCCCCAAGGAACCCGACAGAAACACTGAGGACCGATATTCCAGCTTCCCCATGAAGCAAGACCTCAAACATCCCAGTGACCTGGCCAGGCTGCTGAACCCCAAGTCTGCTTTTCCCAGCAGCTGCCTCCTGTTGTCCTTTCTCCCCTGTCTTGTCTGGCACTCATGTTCTATCACTTCATCCTTTTCCTCTGCTGCTTTGTCCTGCACCCCACATCAGCAGATCTGTTCAACCCAACCGTTTGCCTTCTCGGCGCCCAGCCCTGGGGGCTGAATGCTGATGGAGGAAATCCCACCCCATAACACACTGGCCCCACCACACGAGAAGGGAAGGCCCCCATCCTCTACCGGGTCCTTCACACTGCAAGGCAGCCTTTCTGGGTTTCCCTCTTCAGCACTTTCTCCTACTCTCATGAGCAGTTATTTCCTGTCTTGACCTCTCTCTTCAGAGATCTGACCCTACAGACTCCCCCACTACTTTGGTCAACTCTGACTCCTGCTTCACAGAGAAAATGGAGCCATCAGTCAAGAACTTGCTCACCTTCCTGCAGTCATTCCTACAAATACAGCTACACTCGTGCCATCCTTGACTTCCTCTCTCCTGTGCAAATGGACTCCACGTTCCCTCTGCACTTTGGATTCCATTTGCATCCACCTCCTGGAAGCCTTCCATCATCAGCACTCCCGTCTCTTTCATACACATTTAATCTTTCATTATCCAGTTGGACTCCTTCCTATTTTAGCATGTAAACACAATTAAACATTCCCCTTAAAAATTAAAACAAGACCTGTTTTCTGCTGGCTCGTGAGATCTGAAGTTAAAATTACAGGAACTCTGAGCCAGTTGTTTTAACCACAAAAATTTAACAATTTTTAATTATTAAAAATTATATACACATATTAAAAACAAAGGTAATCCATACTCAAAATTCATCACTTCCTAATTTTTTACTACATGTTACTACTCTCTTGGGCCTTGAGGTTATATATGCCTATTGCGCCTCTCCAGGGAGGAGATTCCAGAGAATGGTGGCCACAGCACATCTCTTTCCAACTCCATGTTCAGCAACATCCCTATGGTAGCTTGAAATCAGCCAAGTGGGAGGAGTGACATCGCAGAAACCAGCAAACGCTACAAACCATGACGTTTTCCCTAGAGAGCTGGCTGTTAAACATTCATCAGCATTCCATTGACCCCTCTCAGCTCCGGATTCTTTTCTAGGTCCTACCTTCTGTGCCTCTTCACAGCTAAATTTCTTCCAAAAGAAGTCTACACCCACGGTCTCCACTGACACAAATGGGTTCTGCACCTCTTGTTCCGGTTGAAGTGCCCTTGACTACAGAGCAGTGGCCTGCTGGAGATTCCATCCTCCATCCTTGAAGCCCTCACCTTCAGGGGCACAGCCACTCACTCGCTGTTGGGACCTTGGCTGCCCTCTGAGGACGCCTCTCAGCTCCCCTCTTAAAGACTACATTTCCCCAGTTTGTCCTCAGCCCCCATGCACTTCACATCTCCCCAGCACACTCCTGAGCTTCCATTTCCAGCTTTGTGCCAGAGATCCCACAGCTGAATATTTAATCCACACCCAAATATCTGACTGTCTGCTGCACATCTCCAATCTGTTGCCCACAAATACTGTAAACTTCCTGTGAAGAAAACTGAAATCACCCTCCTCCCTCAACCTTCCCATCCCACCAGTAGTGTCACCATCCACCAGTCCCAAGCCAGACCCTGAACCATCCTTGGCAACTATCTCAATGAGCAAACACACCCATTCCCCTCTCCTTCTGTTCTCCTGTCCTCATACTCTTTTGTCATTCCTTGGTCCAAGCCACTGTCGCATCTCACCAAATTTCTTGTGCAGACTAGTCCAACTAGTCTCCCCGCTTCTGACCTCTTCATTCCAGGACATACTCCATCCTGCAGACACAGTGATCTCTCTAGATGCCAAATTTGATCACATTATTTTCCTGCTTAAAACCTTCAGGGCAGTCAGGTGCTGTGGCTCACATCTGTAATCCCAGCACTTTAGGAGGCCAAGGTGGGAGGATTGCTTAAGCTCAGGAGTTCGAGACCAGCCTGGGCAACATAGGGAGACCTCATCTCTACGACAAATCAAAAAATTAGCCAGGCATGATGGTGCACACCTGTAGTCCCAGCTACTCAGGAGGCTGAGGTGGGAGAATTGTTTAAGCCCAGAAGATCAAGGCTGCAGTGAGCCATAATCATGCCACTCACTGCATTCTAGCCTAGGCAACAGAGCAAGACCCTGCCTCAAACAAACAAACCTTCACCCACTGCACTCTAGATAAAGCCCAACTCCTTTAGCTTCGCACACATGGCTTTTTTTTGCTTTTTTTTTTTTTTTTTTTTTTTTTTCAGACGGAGTTTTGCTCGTTGCCCAGGCTGGAGTGCAATGGCGCGATCTTGGCTCACCGCAGCCTCTGCCTCCCAGGTTCAAGCAGTTCTTCTGCCTCAGCCGGGTAGCTGGGTAGCTGGGTAGCTGGAATTACAGGCATGTGCCACCATGCCCAGCTAATTTTTTTTTTTTTTTGTATTTTTAGTAGAGACGGGGTTTCTCCATGTTGGTGAGCCTGGTCTCGAACTCCCGACCTCAGATGATCCGCCCACCTCGGCCTCCCAAAGTGCTGGGATGATAGGCGTGAGCCATCGCGCCCAGCCCACATGGCTCTTTTTAACTACCCCCCACTTCCAGCCATTCCATACTATGGGAGCACCTTGACTGATGATGGGGTTATGTCCTGATAAACTCATTATAAGTTGAAAATATTCTAAGGCAAAAATGCATTTAATACACCTGCCCTACTGAACATCATAGTTCAGCCAGCTTACCTTAAACATGCTCTGAACACTTACATTAGCCTACAGCTGGGCAAAAGCATCTAACACAAAGCCTATTTTATAATAAAATGTCAGATATCTCATGGATTTTATTGAACACTGTATATTACATCAAAATTGCAATCATTTTGCACCATGATAAAGTCAAAAAATCCTAAGTCGGGGACTGTCTGCACTATAAATTCTCCCAAAATGCCACCTTTGCCTACTGCTCTCCCTTCACCTGTAATGTTTTCCCTGTGCCCACTCAGTCCTGCTTCCCATCCACCTAGCTAGTAGCTTATTCACTCTTCAAGGCCCAGCCTGGGTATCAGCGCCTCCAGAAAGCTAATATGACCTATTGGAGCTGCTGGGTGCCCCCTGCCATGTGCACCTTGGGTTTCTCACCTTCAGACCACTCAGCATCCTGCATGTAATTATTCTTTGTGTGTTTTATTTGGCTGCCTTCCCCACGAGGCCATAAGCACCTCGAGGGCAGGAATGGTGCTTCATCCAGCACGTTTCTCCAGTTTCCAGCCTGGGGCCTGGCTATAAAGCAAATGCTCAGTCCAGCATTGCGGAATGCAAGGGTAGGACTGAGCTGGATAGAGAGGAGGGGAGCACTGTGTGAGCAAAGGGATGGAGACAGGAATTCTGCACAGACGCTGCCATAGGCAGAAAGAGCCCACTGATGTTCCAGAGGAAGGCCGAGAGGGCTAGTTTGGACGAGACCCCAGGAGGTCTTGAGTGTCTCATCGCAGTGCCCCCCACTGCTGGTGTGATCTCAGGCTATGCTGGCCATGCTGAGGGCGAGGAGCAGATGGCAGTTTGCTGCCCTTGCTTGTGACCTCTGCCCCGCACAAGGTCCATCTTGACCCTGGGCTCTTTTTCTCCTCTCCTGCAGGTACGACACCATCACCAACCAATGGGAGGCGGTGGCCCCTCTGCCCAAGGCAGTACACTCTGCTGCAGCCACAGTGTGTGGCGGCAAGATCTACGTGTTTGGTGGGGTGAACGAGGCAGGCCGAGCTGCCGGCGTCCTCCAGTCTTACGTTCCTCAGACCAACACGTGGAGCTTCATCGAGTCCCCAATGATTGGTGAGAACCAGCGGTGTCCTCAGCCCAGGGCCAGGGTCGCATCCCTGCCTTGCTGATTTGTTCAGTATCCCATGCCCAGAAGTCAGGCTAAGCCCAACAGCTCTGCAGACCCAGATCTAGAGGGTGGCAGGAGTTGCCGAGCCCCCAGCTCAGGTGTCTGGAGAGGGGCAAGTGAGTCAAGGCTCCAGGTTCCCCTAGGCCCCGGACCCATCCCCAGGCCAATCAGTCACTTGTTGGAAGTCTTTCGAGCTTCCTTCCCTGGAGGGTCTTCTGGGAAAGAAAAGGAGAGGGAAGTCCAAGACAAGCTGCCGTGACCTGCCTGCTCTGCTCTCCTCACAGACAACAAGTATGCCCCCGCTGTCACGCTCAATGGCTTCGTTTTCATCCTGGGCGGGGCTTATGCCAGAGCTACCACCATCTACGACCCTGAGAAAGGAAACATTAAGGCGGGCCCAAACATGAACCACTCTCGCCAGTTCTGCAGGTGAGAGGCTGCGGCGCCTTGACTAGGGCTGGGACGGAGGAGTGGGAGGAGGAGGGGTGTGACCACAATGATTTCCTGCCATCAGTGACCATAGCAATTCCCAGGCCCAGAGCAGTGGCCCTCCCCCTCCAACCACAGGAGTGGGCATTAGCCCAGACCAGTAGGGTGGAGCCCACGGCAGCCTCTGGTCCAGGAGCCCAACCCCGGGGCTCCAGCTGGCCCCAGCTCCAGCAGAAATGAACCATTTCCTGAAGGCATCAAGGCTACCCTGCTCTCAGTGAGAGGTGAGGTCAGCTTCCCCCAGGACCACCTGCCCCATCACAGACAGAAGGCAGTGCCAGGCCAGAGCTGTGTGATGCCCTACAGGGACAAGTGACTTCTTGGGGGAATGCTCTGAGGACATGAACGATCCTGATGGCTTTGGGAGCTGTGCTCAGAGTCCCAAAGGCTGACTGGGCAAAAGCACACACAAACCCACCCCTGCAGGCAGAGAAGGTAGAGGGCTGAGTGTGGCTCGGTCCCCAGGCTTTCTGGCCCTGTGGCAGCGAGACACCAGTCCCTGCTCTTCCAGCCCCATCCTTTCCTGGACTAAGAGGAACAAGGAATAAAAAGGGGCCCCAAGGCCAGGTGCAGTGGCTCACACCTGTAATCCCAGCACTTTGGGAGGCCGAGGCGGATGGATCAGTTGAGATCAGGAGTTCAAGACCAGCTTGGCCAACATGGTAAAACCCCGACTCTACTAAAAATACAAAAATTTGCCAGGCGTGGTGGCATGTGCCTGTAATCCCAGCTTCTCAGGAAGCTGAGGCAGGAGAATCGCTTGAACCCGGGAGGCGGAGGTTGCAGTGAGCCGAGATCGCGCCACGGCACTCCAGCCTGGGTGACAGGAAAAGACTCCGTCTCACAAAAAAGAAGGGGCCTCAGAAACCTCATTGTCAGGACTCCCATAGCAGATGCTTCCTGAAGACATCTTGTGCCTATGTAGAGGTAACTGCAGAATCTTCAGTGTGGGAATAGCATGAAGTACTTAGAGTGCCCATTGTTTGTGTAGCATAGCTAGAAAAGATATAACCTCCTACTAGCATGTCAGTGACCTTGGACATATCCCTTCACCTCTCTGAGGAAGTTCTATCTGTGAAACAGGCGGTTGGACCAGACAACTGCTAAGCTCCTGTTGGACTGAGATTTCACAATTCTTGAGCCATACTTCCATGTCATGTACCCTAATGGTGGCAGTGTGCAGAGCACAGTCTGACTACCCCGTCCACTGATGCAGACAACTGGAGCATTGCGCTCCACTTGGGAGGATGCTCGCACCTTCTCTGAGACTAGAAGTAAATGGGAAAGGGCCAGGCACAGTGGCTCACGCCTGTAATCCCAGCACTTTGGGAGGCTGAGGTGAATGGATCACGAGGTCAGGAGTTCAAGACCAGCCTGACCAACATGGTGAAACCCCGTCTCTACTAAAAATACAAAAATTAGCCAGGTGTGGTGGCAGGCGCCTGTAATCCCAGCTAACTCAGGAGGCTGAGGCAGGAGAATTGCTTGAACCTGGGAGGCGGAGGTTGCAGTGAGCTGAGATCACACCACTGCACTCCAGCCTGGTGACAGAGTATGACTCCGTCTCAAAAAAAAAAAAAGAATGGGAAAGACTTAACGGCAAATGGCAGAGTTAAGCTGGGTCTTGCAAGATAATCAGGTAATAGGTGCACCACAGAAGGAAAATATGAGGGCCCCAGATGGCATGAACTAAGGGAGAGAAGACTGGAAGCTTCAGGGTCTGGTAAGAAGTCCAGACTGATGTGTTCTCTTTAAGAGATTTCAGAAACGGGTGGAGCCTTTGAAAAGGTATGTGTCCAATGTCAGGGAATAGCCAGGAAGAAATGGCCATTAGCTGAAATGAAAGAGTGTCAGGGCTAGAAACAAGGATGTGGACGTCAGTGCAAAGAAGTAGCTGAAATGCATTAAGGGAGTCAGTGCAGAGAGGGGCCAGATGCTGAGCCCTCATGATGAGAGGAGCTGACTGAGACAACAGGAGCAAGCCAGTGAGTGTCACACAGGGAAGGGGTCCAGGCACAGCCATCGGTCACCCTGCAGAGCATGCCCGGCCCTTGCAATCCTGGGTGGGCAGCAGCACCAGGTCACACAGAAGCACCTTGGCAGGTGGAGCTCCCAGTCAAGTGGCTGACATTCAATTCCAGCTGAGCTCCTTATTATTCTCTCTCGTCATTCTTGTGAGTCATGTTCCCAATTTGATTTGAGCAGTAGGAAGGCTGCGTGTGCCACACAAGAGCCTCCAGAAAGCCTCAGTGACCTGAGCTGAGTGCCCGCACAGAGATCTTTCGTCTCCTAGCCATGGTTAGTCACTCTGGCGGGGCAGGGAGGGAGCGCCTTCTGCCGCTCGCAGGGTGGCATAGCACGGCTTCCTGACTGGCCCTGGAGGACAGGTGTTTTTCTTATGCCAGCCCAGGTTAGAGGGCAAAGAAGGGCAGCAAGATCCCAGATGCCTTCTGCAAAAGGCACAGGCAGCCTACAACAGGACACGACGTTGAGAACCTATCTCCAGGGCCAAGTTGGAAGTGAAATGCCTAACTCTGTCCCCGCTTTCCCCCAACAGTGCTGTGGTGCTTGATGGCAAGATTTATGCAACTGGAGGTATTGTCAGCAGTGAAGGGCCCGCGCTGGGCAACATGGAGGCCTACGAGCCCACAACCAACACATGGACCCTCCTCCCCCACATGCCCTGCCCTGTGTTCAGACACGGCTGCGTCGTGATAAAGAAATATATTCAAAGCGGCTGACATCAGCAGAAAGCCCACGATAAGACTGTGGACAAGTCTGGTGAGGCAAGTGCCACGCAATGATAATTTTCCAGCGACACCAACAAGAGGCCAACAAAACACAATCAAGGAACTCACTGCGCTCAACATGTTGAATATTCTCTACATTGAATGTAGAAAATCATCCTCGCCTTTGGATGAAACGGAGGCACCGCGCTTGGAGCCGCAGGAACCACGATCCCGCCATGGGGCTGGCTGCCTCCTGAACAGGGGCGCTCGCTCTGCCAGGTGCAATAGAGTTTCACGTATTTTTCAACTGGGAGAGAGAAGCTGTTTTTTCCTTCCTGCAGAGCAAGCTTGATCCCTAAACAACCATAGATCAGTTATCTTATGACAACATTAGGCATCAGGCTCTCTTGGAATAAGATCAAAGTGTCCTTATCACTTTGATTCCTACTTTTGTTTTTTAACCGATCTACACTTTCAGTGGCCGACAGAAAACGAGGGACAATACTGTGCATCACAAGGCCTAGGAGGCTGCTGGTCCCCACTGGGGCTGAAGAGAAGCCCAGCTGCCCACGCGGAGCCAGGGGTGGCAGCTGTGGGACAGCCGGGGAGCAGGGACAGCGGTCTGTCCTTCACAGGTTTTTCTACTGTGTTTTTGCTGGAGAAGGACAGTGATTGCGCTAGCTTTCTCTTACCCGGTATGAATTATTTAGATTTCTGAGGCATTTTCTTGATAAACAAAAGGCTATTTTTAAGTACTGAGAGGAGGAGCAGGCCACAAGAGGGATAATGTTGTGGGAATTCCCAAAGCTCTTTGTAGGTAGTGCCAGAGGGGGGCTTTTGCTCTCATTTTTCTATGTGCAGAATAGAGGATCTCTCCTGGGGTGGGCGATGCCCCCATTTTATTTTTAGAAAAAGTAACTCCCAGACAGCCCCATAAAAGCTGTGCCCAAGGAAGAAGAGTCTGCTCTAGAAGGAGCCCGGTTCTGGCTCAGGACACCGGCCCAGCTCCCTCCATGAGGTCAAGCTGAGGACCAGGCCAGTGGGAAGGGAAGGAGGGAGAATTAGCGTCTATAAAGCACAGGAGACTATTTTTGATATTCATAGCTATATATTAAGGCACCTGCCACAAGAGCTCTCAGGATGGGGACAGCCTTCTTAGTGGAGCCATGGCAGCAAGGCCTGAGGGCATGAACAGAACCACTCTTCTTGTCACATACGAACCTGAGAAAAGGGAAGCCAGGAGGGAGGTCACACCATGGCTCAAAAGGGAAAGGCCTTCCCACTTGTCCTTAGCCCCTCAAACCTCACACGGTCAACAGTTTCCATTCCAGGGCAGGAGAATGCTGCCGCCACTGCGCTGTTGAGTTGAAGTTGGTACCAAATACACATTTACCACTTTTATATCTGGGAAGTCAACTTGCCATCGTTTCATGATAACAACCATTTATAAGAGAAAAAGACAGGACACGCTTTCCATCGTTCAGTATTTGATGACACAAAATTCCAGTTCTAACGTTGGGCATCAACTTCTAGCACTACGAGTGTGGCTCCCACTTGGACAAGATACCGAGCTTCGTTATGCAGTTTTTAATATTATTTATTATTTTAAAAAGTAATAAGCACAAAACTACATACATTGTATGTCATTTAAAGTATTTATGTCAAACAGGGTGCAAGTGTGAACCCAAGGACTGGAGCACAAATTCCTAACTGCCTGGGGCAGGGCTAATGTTAGCATTGGTGTGCGTCTGCCTCCAAAGGAGGTTCTAGTTGTCAGCGAGACTCAACACAGATGACATTGAAATTCGTTTCTCTCCTCATCTATCACACTGGAGCAAAACTGGCTATTTCTGTGAATGATATAAAACAGGGTTCTCTGTAATGGTATTGTACATAGTATATGTTTACTGTTAAGTTCTTGTTATATTATAATAAATATATTTATAGATCTAGACTTGGAAGCCAACGTAATCTTTGTGTGCCATCGTCCTGCCACAGGGATGCAAAACCTGTTCTACCCCTCATACATCAGCTGTATGGGTTCTCTTATAGACTTTAGTGCAGAACTTAATGATTAGAAAGGATGGGACTCCATATTGAGGGAAGGTTTAGAGTTGAAAAGCCAAGAAGACAATTGAAGGTAAAAGTTGAAAGGGACTTGCAAACACGCTGGCACTGGCTCTGAGGCTCTTCCTTTCATTGAAGTGCTCTTCTTATTACACTTGTGCAACTGAAAGCTTCAAAGCTGTTAGCTTCCCACTGGTATCACTGCTGTGCCAGGGACCCACTTAGAGCCACATGGCAAGTCCAGCTCATGAGCCTAAGAGGAGACACAACACACTTTCTCCAGGAAGAGGAATACAGGGTGATTTCTTTTCTTTTCTTTTCTTTTTTTCTTTTTTATTGAGATGGAGTTTCACTCTTGTTGCCCAGACTGGAGTGCAATGGCGCGATCTCAGGCTCACCACAACCTCCGCCTCCCGGGTTCAAGCGATTCTCCTGCCTCAGCCTCCTGAGTAGCTGGGATTACAAGCCTATGCCACCACACCCGGCTAATTTTGTATTTTTAGTAGAGACGGTGGTTTTTCCATGTTGGTCAGGGTGGTCTCGAACTCCCAACCTCAGGTGATCCACCCACCTCAGCCTCCGAAAGTGCTGGGATTATAGGCGTGAGCCACTGCGCCCAGCCAGGGTGATTTCTATCCTATCCTAAAATCCAGTCGGGGGGCCTCACTGCCTTCTTCAGTCATGGCTGGTGCTGCTCTCTAGGCTGCTGTATAGACCTACCTTGCTATGCTAAGGACTTGCGTGCCAGGCTCCCTGGGGAGAAAAGGTAGAGCGCCAGATGGGAGCACCTGTCCTCTGGCAGGGAAAGTAGTTTAGATTTCACAGATTCGCAGAAAGCATATTGGCCAGCTTTGTCATCCATGTGAAGAGCCTCACACCATTAATTCACAAATCTCACCAAGACTAAGGGTCTCCTTGCCAAAAAAAAAAAAATCGGAAGGTGGTGGTCAGGGTAGGCGAGAGAGGGAGATGTTGAGAGAACTTGGCTGAGGCTTTATGGTGAGTGGACCATACTCTTGTCAAATAAATATTTGCAGTGATACCTTCAGTCCTAAAGGATGGCGAATGTCTAGAGGATGCCAATCATGAAGAGCTGAAATTATAACTTGAGATAAAAATCAAGCAATCATCTTGTTAACTCTTTTCCTGTCTACCTCATTTCCCTAAATCAAGAGAAACACATTCTCTGGGTCTACGAAGAGTCTGTGTATTTCAGACTTAACTCTGGGGGGTGAACAAATTGCATTTTGCCATAAAAGCCATGTGTGTCCACTATATCAGGAGTCCATGAGACAAAGGGGAGCATCCAAGTGAAACCATCAGAGCTGATGTGGATAGTGAGAAAGTTCACTGTGACGGCCACAAACAGAAAATGGTTCACATTATGCATGTGTATGATTTTTTTTAAACCCATAGCCAAAATAAGAAGAGAACAGTCAGGAAAAATATTTGCAGTCCATATGACAAAGGATTTATCTCTTTATTAAAGAACCCATGTAATTCAATAAGAAAAGGCTAAGTGATTCCAACAGTTAAAGAGAATAGGTCTTAAACAGACCTAACAAAGAGGAAACGTTGCCAGTAAACAAACATACAACAAAAAAGCTCAACAATGGCAGTTGTTAAATAATGAAAATAATTGTGAGGTAGTAACATCTTTAGCTACTAAATTAGCTCCCCAAACCTAAGAAAAATGGTGGGGAGAGGGACTCCAACTGCTCATGAGGAGCCGTGAACCCCGTGAGCAGTGAAGGGTTCTGTCAACCAAAACAACGCTTTTAGAGAGCAGTGAGGCAGACGCCGGGTATCAGGAGCCACAGAAGTATTCACACCTGACCTGGTGAATCCACTCTGAGCATCCATGAGGAAATCATAAAACTATGAGAAAAGTCATACACAGCTGCCCTCCATACCCAGAGGTTCCCCATTCAGATTCAACCAACCGTGCATGGAAAAAATTGGGGGGCAAAAAACCAATACAGAATAATACAAATGAAAAAACAATACAGTGTAACAACCAGCTACATTGCCGTTACGTTGTATTAGGTATTATAAGTAATCTAGAGATGATTTAAAGTACACTGGAGGATGTGCAGAGGTTATATGCAAATACAAACCCCTTTAATATCAGGGACTTGAGCATCCAGGGTTTTGGTATCCCTGGGGGTCTAGGAACCAATCCCCTGCAGATGCTGAGGGATGACCGTCATAATAACTTGCTCTCATTTACTGACACTAACAACATGCCCGACACTGTGCTAAGCACTGGCTGCGTGAAGCCTTCACATTTCCGTGAGACAGGTAATACTAAAGACATGCTGCCATTTGGAAAACACTTAGAAAAGGGAAAACAATGTATATTTTTATGATTGTGGGTATGTGATACACATATATAAAGATATATAAGATATACATCTAAAGATAGGTAAGATGTGTATCTTTTTAATGACCAGATTTGCAGTCAGAAAAATACTATCAGTTGTATTCATGGAATTGCAGGCAATTTTTCTTCTCTCTTGTCCAGAATTTCTATAATGACATTATTTTTATAAGATATAAATATATATATTTTTAAAAATGGGTAGTGAGGGACAGAGAGTAATCTTTCCACAGAATTTCTTTCTTTTTTTTTTTTTTTTTTTTTTTTTTTTTTTTTTTTTTTTGGAGACAGAGTCTCACTCTGTTGCCCAGGCTGGATGGAGTGCAATGACACGACCTGGGGTCACTGCAACCTCCGCCTCCTGGATTCAAGTGATTCTCCTGCCTCAGCCTCCCAAGTAGCTGGGATTACAAGCCCCTGCCACCACGTCCAGCTAATTTTTGTATTTTTAGTAGAGATGGGGGTTTCACCATGTTGGCCAGGCTGGTCTCGAATTCCTGACCTCAGGTGATCTACCCACCTCACCCTCCCAAAATGCTGGGATTACAGGAGTGAGCCACTGCGCCTGGCCCTTTCCCCAGAATTTCAGTCTGAGATTCTCTTTTGTGAAGATCATCTCCTATTTTGGGTACCATAAGCAATGGAGAAGTTAGAGAGGTTCACTATCAAGTAACAAAGACAATTACAAATAAAAAATATGCTGCCATGTATTCGTGCTAAAACTCTGGAATGGGTTATTAAGATCCCTGTACATGTCTCCTCTAATTGAACCTTAATATACGTATACAACATAATTACACACATTAACTCATTCTATCCTCTCAACTACCCTAAAAGGCATAGGGCTTCATCTTCACCCTTTAAGAAGACGAAACAGTCTCAGAAAAGTGGCTTGCCCGGTTATAGTTAGGCCATGCCCCAAGTGCTCTCTGTACACTGTTGAGTTTCATGCTCATTACGGTCCTGCACAGGATGGTTATCCCCATTGCAGGAGTGAGGCCACAGGGCCCTGAGACCTTAAGCAGAGAGCAGGTTTACAGCATCTCAGCCTTCAAACCTGGCTCAGTGAGACTCCAGGAGCTCGCACTACACAGCCCCTCCAAGTCTGCCTGGAGTTTTTAAGGCACAATCCTCCTCCCCAGGCTACCTCAAAAATCCGTAGTAAGAAAACAGAGAACTCTGTGAATGGGATAGACATTCAGCTCTGTTAAAAATAGTCCTCTTTAGAAGTGGTTTTAAAAACACCTGGTAAGAGTCTCAGCAACATAATGAAGGATTTGGCTTTAAACAGAAAACCTGGGACTGGGGTAAGGAAAGAGTCCTCTCACTGAGATGTGAGACCATCCACTGCCGCCTCATTAGAAACTCCTGCTGTGAGCCTGCATTGTGTGATGGACTCTCAAGGAGTTCCTCACATGCTTGTGGAATCACAGCCTCGGCCTGGGAGAGCAGAGGAGAGGGGAGAACAGCATAAGTGCTGACCACAGCAGCCTCGGCCCCAAAGGGAATATCATGACCTTGGTATCCAAGGATACAGAAAGTTTTCCCAGCTGGGTCAAGGAGCTGAATAACATAAGGACTCAACTCCAAGAAGCCTGCTGTTTTCACATGATGGTAAAAAAACTGAGGTGTGCTGTTGGGAGTAGACAAAGAGGAATCCCATGGATCTCTTTACAAAAAAAAAATAAGACTCCAAGAATGTGTGTTCACCATCCAAACTTGCCATGCATGCACTCTGCTGCCCACTATGGAACATATGCAGGTCATTTGGGTGTGTTTCCTCCTAGAAAATGAGGACAGCCTTTGAGTGGCTCATACTAGGTCGGTAAGACTGCCTTCTCCACCTCCCACCATGGGCCGCCTCACCCTGATGTGCAGCACCAGCCAGATTACCCCAACTCCACTGGCAACAGCACATGAAAAGGTATAAGCAAGTGTGCTGCTGTAGCCAGCCCTGCAGCCTACAGATGACTGAAGAAGTATTAGGTTGGTGCACAAGTAATGGCAGTTTTTGCCATTAGAAGTTTTAGTTAAAGGGTTTTCTTTCACTACGTGTACAGAATTCCTTCATTCTCAGCGAAGCTGGCCACTGCTCAAGTGCAAACCTGGGCACCACAGGACCCATGAGCACTGTCTCCTTAGGGTGTTAGCCCTGGGACTTTACGTTCCTGTTAGTACAAATCAGCCACTGAGGCTCTTCAATTCACCCCCTAAATTCTCCAGTCACTTTCTATCACCACTGCCTTATTTTTAAACCCTTATCACTTGCCCTAATTGTTGCTATAGCCCCTTTTTTATGGAGGTTTTTTTTTTTAAGTAACAGCTTTATTGACATATAATTCACATACCATACACTTCACCCTTTTAAAGTGGTTTTTCAGTATATTCACGAATTGAGCAACAATAACCACTAATTGCAGAACACTTTCATCACCCCAGAAACAAACCTGTACCCATTAGCATACTCCCCATTCTCCCCAACCCCTAACCCCGGGCAACCACTAATCTACTTTCTGTCTCTGTGGATTGCCTATTGCGAACGTTTCATAAAAATGGAATCATACAATACTTGGCCTTGTGTTTCCGGCTTCTTTCACTTAACAAAGTATTCTCAAGATTCATCCATGCTGCAGCATGTGTCAGCACTTCATTCTTTTATGGCTCCATATTATTCCATTATACAGATACACACAATGGATATATACAAAAATGAATACATTTTGTTTATCCATTCATTAGTTATTGAACATTTGGGTTATTTCCACATTTCGGGTATTATTAATAATGCTGCTATGAACAGTGGTATACAAGGTTTTGAGATTAAATAAATTTGGGAAATGCTAGGTTTATCAAGGTTAAATAGGTTTCTTTACTACAGATTTCTCAGAATCAAAAACACACTAACATTCACTCTAACTTTACTAAACTGGATACAAAAGGCAGAGTTTTCCCACCGTATTTGGCCATTACCCCCCGGTCCAAGTTTTCTTCTCTTCTAAATTATGATACAAGCTCAAATAATGATATGGAATTCTGAGGTCAACACATTCTGCCCTCATTCCTGAAAGAAGTACAACAGAAAGTAATTGTAATCTTGTGAAGACTCAGAAGCAAATTCTAATTTAGAATTCTCAAAATACTTTTTTTTTTTTTTTTTTGAGACAGAGTCTTGCTCTGTTGCCTAGACTGGAGTGCAGTGGCGCGATCTCGGCTCACTGCAAGCTCCGCCTCCTGGGTTCACACCATTCTCCTGCCTCAGCCTCCCGAGTAGCTGGGACTACAGGTGCCCACCACCACGCCCGGCAAATTTTTTTTTTTTTTTAGTAGAGACAGGGTTTCACTGTGTTAGCCAGGATGGTCTCCATCTCCTGACCTCGTGATCCACCCGCCTCGGCCTCCCAAAGTGCTGGGATTACAGGTGTGAGCCACCGCACCTGGCCCTCAAAATATTTCTTAAGAAAAATCAATATAGGGGCCAGGTGCAGTAGCTCACGCCTGTAATCCCAGCACTTTGGGAGGTCAAGGCAGGTGAATCACTTGAGGTCAGGAGTTCAAGACCAGCTTGGCCAACATGGTGAAACCCTGTCTCTACTAAAAATACAAAAATTAGCTGGGCATAGTGGTACATGCTTGTAATCCCAGCTACTCGGGAAGCTGAGGCAGGAGAATCACTTGAACCCAGGAGGCGGAGGCTGCAGTGAGCCAAGATCGCACCACTGCACTCCAGCCTGAGTGACAGAGCAAGACTCTGTCTCCAAAAAAAAAAAGAAAAATATATGTATTTTTATATGGTAGCAGAAGGAATAAGATTGATATTCTCTGAAGTTGATAAAATCCTTTTCTGAATGCAGCAAAATGTTTCATAGGAATCATCTGTCCAGAAGACTTCAGTCTCTCTCTACTCATATTGTAATATTTTTAATTGAAAAAAATCCAATAAACACACCTACAATAACTACTCTACATATAAACTAAAACAACCAACCCACACATCCAATGACAGCTGCAAAAGTGTGACCTGACAACTTCTGGAAAAGGCTCTTAGACATTTTATACTTTGTTAATTTTGAACAACATGACAATCTTTTTAAGTCACCTGCAGCAAAGAATAATCAGTCATTTGTCCCACCTATATTTAAAAATTGAAAACTTTCACATTAATTCTAGTATTGTCATTAAAATATCATATTGAAGGCCAGGCACGGTGGCTCACGCCTGTAATCCCAGCACTTCGGGAGGCCAGGTGGGTGGATCACAAGGTCAGGAGATCGAGACCATCCTGGCTGACATGGTGAAATCCTGTCTCTACTAAAAATACAAAAAAATTAGCCAGGCATGGTGGCAGGCGCCTGTAGTCCCAGCTACTCGGGAGGCTGAGGCAGGAGAATGGCGTGAACCTGGGAGGCGGAGCTTGCAGTGAGCAGAGATGGCACAACTGCACTCCAGCCTGGGCAACAGAGCAAGACTCTGTCTCAAAAAAAAAAAATCATATTAAAGCATAAAAATATTTTTTAATATTTGTATTTAGATTAACATTGGTATTAATAGACAGCTAAAGTTGCATCCAATTCTAGCCATAAAATCTTGAGAATGTAGGGTTGCTTTACTGTTTCTGTGGTTAAATACTGAAGCTCAAACACTGTGGAAATTAGTGTAAAGAAACATTCCAAAGATTTGTGACTGATTTTTTACAGTGTGATAGGCAATTACTCCTTTCTTTGGTCCATTTTAAACATAATCTGTTAAATTTCTTTATTAAAGTATGATAAACTACAGAGCTGACAGCTTACTGATGTTTCCATTAAATATGTGACATAAGTTCAGACTCCCCACCACAAATAGCCTTTATTTCAGTAACATACTAAGTATAATGTTACTGTGGATTGTCACATTTCTTTCTAAAGGGATGTTCTGTTTGCAAAGTCCTGTTAAAATACTTTGCACTCATTAAAATGCTAAAATAGAAATTTGTAATTAATTTCCAACACTTTCTCAAGAAACGTTCAGCTGTAAGAGTAACCATACACAATGTTTAGAAAGACTATTATCTCATATCAAAATTAACTTTGCTTTGTTGCCACAGTGAAATTGTTAGAAAAGCTCTGTGCTCTATGTAGATCCCATATTATAGACACATGACTAGAGCTATTTATGTATTTTTAGGAATACTTGCAAAGTTTCTTGAGCCTATGATCTTCTTTGTGGCTCTTAAACTGCTGCGATGATATAAACAGCAAGGTTTATTGATTTACCATTTGTTGAGAAATTGGAAATTCCAGGGCATCTAATAATTTATAGAGATCAGGTATATTAGCCTGCACCTAAGGTGGGACCTTTCATTGTTGTTGTTGTTGTTGTTGTTGTTGTTGTTGTTACCTGGATCTGCTCTACCCATGCAATCTCTGGCAGGCCTCCATCTAGCACATTCACATGGTCTACTACTGCATTTGCTCTTTAGTTTCATTAGAGACATTCAGTTTCTTGATCCTTTCCATTGCCTCCCAGTTTAGCAGCCCCACCCTGGTTTCACTTCCCAAGAATGGAATTCTTCTCCCCCAAATTATCTGACTTTCCTAACATTGTCATCTTTCTGTTGGATAAACAAGACAAAACTGCAATCCTAACTTAATTCACCTATCAGCCTCCTCTGATGTTTCATTTGGGGTGACAGCTGCAAACAGAGGAAAAAGCCCACATTCACACAGACTGGTGCTGGTGCCACTATGAATACATGGACCCCACCTCCAACTGTGCCCTCACCTTACTCTCAGATAGCTCTCTTTCCTATTTCCATCAGTGACTGTGCTAAATCTTCACTTCTCTCCTGTGAGTTTCCTACCTAGAACCTGTGCTTGGCAGAAGAACACACCTTTTCACCAAAATAACTTAGGAGGATGGAGGCGAGGATGGAGGCAGTGGCCACACAGTGTTTTTAATCATCCAGAATTGCCCATTAAAAACAGAGAAACCAGGATGAAAAACCTAAAGACCACTGGACAACATCGAAAATAAAATTAAATAGTAAAGACTCCCTGGAACTCCAAATCCCAAGTGAGTAGGAACATGCCATTAATACCTACGAGACTGTGGTACACCTGTGTGAGGAAGAAAGTAGAGAAAAGTAATTGGCATGGAATGGAACTGAGAACCCAACAGGGACTCATGGGAATGCACAGGGGCCATGCTGAGGAGAGCAGTGGGCAGTGAGAGGAGCTTTGTGCCCCAGCTCTCGGGGTAGTGCAAGGGTTCCATGGCAAGGATGAGCCTTGTGAATCCTCAAAACTAACCAGCCCAAGGCTTCTTCCAGGACAGAGCCCAGATTAAGGAAAAATTACCAGGGAGAGAATCTGAATTGAACAGCACAGGGACAAAAAAAACAAAGAAAAAAGAGGTCCAAATAGAAGGAGGTGACGGGAGCAAAGTGAGATTTCAGAAAGTCAGCAGCCATTTATTTCAACACTTCACAAAAATAACAGGAGAGAGAGCTCCAGAGCCATGAAATCCAGGCTTCCTTCTAAAAGTTCAAGAAACATAATTCCATGTAAAAATAAGCAACAAAAGGATCGAGAGGAAATACTATATAGATATAAGAAAAGACTTCGAAAGGAGAAGGCTACCCCATAGGCAATAAAAGCACTGCAGAAAGACATGGCTACAAAAGAAAATGATAACCTAATATCTTCAACACAAGCAAAAGGGCATGTGACAATAATATAGGAAATGAAAGAACAATATAACCCCAAAATTGGGAAAACTCACAAATGAAGTAAAATAACTCAGGGAGAATTAGCAAAAAATTATTTTAGAAACGCAGGCTAAACTAGAAAGGATGTAACAGTGAATAAAAAACGAATAATGCCTTAAGACAAACAGAAGGGTAAAAAGAAGGGCAGGAAATTTTTTTAAGTAACAAAGAAATGAAGAAACTTCTGGCTCTGGTTAAGATGGTGTAGGTATATTCTACTGCATCTTTCCCATTGATTACAGCTAAAAATCTTGAACAGGAGACAGAAAACAATTATTAATGGGCTCCGAGAAAATTTTTTTTTAGAAGTCAGTAAACTGGGTAGGAAAAGGAAGTCAAAGAATGACCCACAGGGTGGGTTTGCCTTTTACTCCTTATCTCCTAGTTTATTCTCTAGGGCAGCCAGAACCCCAGAAGAAAAACCCTCTCTCATTACACTCTCCAGACCCAGACCCAGGTGAGCCCTAGGAAAGCATTAGCCTCCTCACAGCAACAGTGGCCATGATAGCAGAAGTATTCCTAAGGGTTCTTGTCTCTCTGGTCAAACCACCAGGAAAGGGGTGTCTTAGGAGCCTGAGAGTCAGGGGAAGATCACAGAGAGTAAGGAGCTGGAGAAAGCGGTCCTTCCAATTATTGCACAAAATCCTGAGCTGCCCATGTGTAGAACTGACCAGGACCAAGAGGGAAAAGGCTGTGAGATCTGAACTATGATGTAGGCCACCACCAGGTTCTTAGACTTGCCCCTGCGTGGTGCACATGGAGAACTGTATTAGTGTCCTAGGATTGTTATAAAAAATCACTGCAAACTTAGTGGCTTTAAGACAACAAATTTATTATCTTATGATTTGGGAGGTCAGAAGTCTAAAATGGGTCTTAGGAGCTAAAACCAAGGTGTTGGCCGACCCGTGTTCTGGAGGCTCTAGGGAAGAATCCACTTCCTTGCCTTTTCTAACTTCCAGAGGCCGCGTGTACTTCCTGGCTCCTGGCCCCTTCTTCCATCTTCAGATCACATCACGCCAACCTCTGCTTTGGCCATCACAGCTCCTTTTCCTGATTCTCCTGTCTCTCTCCCATGAGGATCCTTGTGATTACACTGGGCCCACACACTAATCCACAATAATCTCCCATCTTAAGATCCTTTATCACATCTGCAAAGTCCCCTTTACCACATAAAACAACATATTCACAGGTTCTGGGGATTCGGCCATGGACATCTTTGGGGAGTCATTATTCAGCCTAACACAGAGATTGAACATAAAGGCACTACAGAGCTTTGGAAACTAAACTGACAATGGAAACACAGCCCACAGGAACTAGGCCAGGACTTTTGGTCTGGACCTAGCCGAGTTGACTGTCTGCTAAAACAAAAAAGGTCAGCCTTCTTCCCAAGACTGTAACAGGGCCCAGAACAGCATAAAGAATATTCAAAATGTTCAGGACACAATCCAAAATGACTTGACATACAAGGAACTAGGAATACATTAAACAACCCTAAGGAGGAAAAGCAATCAAGAAAGCCAACCACAAGACTGCTCAGATGCTGAAATAATTAAAAACTTTAAAAGAAATTCTCAGCTCCAAAATGGCAGCGTAGAAGCAAGCTTGTTTCACTTCCCCCACTCCATCCAGAAAACCAAAAACAAATATACAGTGCCAAGACCATCACCAGAAATATCCCAGAACTCATATATGAAAATGAGACAGTTCTCAGGATTGCAGAGAAGTGAAAAACCTCCAAGCAGATGGTAAGAGAATAGGACTTCCACATCCATGACACCCTTTCCCCCATTCTGCCTGGCACCAAGCACGTGGAAAACTTCCCCCCAACTCACTGTTTCTACACCAGGAAAAGTGAGATTAAGGTGGACAACCAGCTTCCCCACCATCTTACGTTCCTGGCAGGAGTCCTGTCCTTATCTTAACCCACAGAAAGCATCACAAGTACCTAAAGGGAGAAATATCCCTGAGGACTGGCAGAGACAAAGTGGGAAGGCAGGACATCCCCAGCCCTGGAAACTGCTCTGTAACTCTGCCAAATGAGACACCAAAGCAAATGTCTGTTAAGCAGCGCCATGCTGTAGGAGGTTCATCCCACACGTCCCCTGGGCACGAGTCCTTAGCCAACCTTCCCACACGTTCTGGATATCCCCTTTGGGACCTCCCTCATTTGAAAGGGCAGCTCTCCAATCATTTACTAGGGCTGAGGTAAACCTGGGCTTAAGGTGCCACTAAAAGCCAGAAAGGAGGCAGTGACCTAGCAGCAAAAAAACCTCTGAGCTCAGGAGCAAGATGACTGACTAGAAATACCTGGCATTCATTCTTCCCACAAGAAAGGGCAAAAACAACAAATAAACAGCTAAGAATTGACTGGAGTGTCAAAGGGAGAGTGCTGGAGTACAGCAGAGGAGTGTAGACCTACCTATGGTGATCAAAAGTCCAGGAGGGCAGGCCAGGTGTGGTAGCCCACACCTGTAATCCCAGCACTTTGGGAGGCTGAGGAGAGTGGATCAGTTGAGGTCAGGAGTTTGAGACCAGCCTGGCCAACATAGTAAAACCCCATCTCTATTAAAAGTACAAAAATTAGCTGGACATGATGGCACATGCCTGTAATCCCAGCTACTCAGGAGGCTGAAGGAGGAGAATCACTTGAACCCAGGAGACAGAGGTTGCAAGATCTCTATAAGAGATTGCGCCACTGCACTCCAGCCTGGGTGACAGAGCGAGACTCCGTCTCAAAAAAAAAAAAAAAAGTTAAGAGGGCAGCGTGGAGGCACCCAGTGTCTGCAGCCCTGTCTCCCCTGCCCAAATCAGATCCGCCTGGAGTCAGGAGGGACTTCCCATCACAGGGAAAAGGTAAGCAGAAGATCCCCATCAACCCCACTGCCACTGCTGATGCCTGCAGTCCTTACAAAAAGAGAATCCCACAGTCTCCCAGTTTGGAGAGCTGCCTGGAATTCATCCAGTTGCACTGCCCCAGATTAGGAACACAAAGTGTGCCCTCCACACCCCCACCCTCACCCACTGTGAGCCAAGCTGCTGTAGCACTCTACCATCTTGAGACCAGAGCCACCTCTGAAGTGCACCCTCCTCTGCAGGCCAGTAGCCACTGCACCTCTCCAGCACCAGGGCTCCATCTTCATTCCACCACATCCCAGCAGCATAAAGCCCCAGCATCAGCTGTAACACTGGGCCTGCACAGTAGGAGACTGACTCCCACCATCCTCACTTCCAGCCAGAGGAACAGTGTGGGAGTCCTGCCCAGGGTGAAACTGCTCTTGAGCCAGCCAAACTGCTATGTGCCCTACCCCTCAAGCCTCCAAGCAACTGACACATTTCCAGGCCAGCAGAGCAGCTAAACGCCTGCACCCAGGGCCAACATAATAGCCCTCAGGTGCCCCACCCCATGCAGACAAGTCCCTGACCTGCTTAATGGCCCTATGCCCACAATCAGAGCATGACAAGCAGCTCCACGGATTGCCCCTGGCAGAAATGGCCCCAGGCCAGCTGATCAGCTATGTGCCCATACCCGGGACTGAAAAACAGCTCCATAGGCTGCCCCTGGAGGTTAAGCCCCAAGGCCAGCCAAGTAGCTGTGCACCAATGTCCGTGGCCTAAGAAACAGCCCAATGGGTCACCCCCTGCAGACACATCCCCAGGCCAGCTGAACAGCTGTGTGCCTACATCCCAGGCCTAAGAAACAGCCCCATGAGCTGCCCCAGGCAGACATACCCCCAGGCCAGCCAGGCAGCTGTGCAACAATATCCTACCATATCCTAGACCTGAGAAGCAGCCCTCTGGGCCACCACCCAGAAGACAGACTCCAGGCCAACCAAGCAGCTGTATGCCCACATGCTAAGCCAGAGAAACAGTCCCATGGGCCACGGTCAGCAGACATGTCTCCAGGCCAACTGAGCAGTCATGCGGCTGTGTCCCAAGCCTGAAAAACAGCCTTGTGGGCCTGCCCCCAGGCCAGCCAAGTGACCAACACAGGGAGCCCGACCCCAAGCTGGCTGTCCCACCATGTGCACACAC